>NC_000005.10:18489638-18792669 GCF_000001405.40 Homo sapiens
ATCAATTTACTTTATTTTCAATAAAACCATCCAAGAAAAAATGATTTTTCTGAAAAGCATTAATCTAAAGCAATTATATCAGATTTGTTGACAGCCATTATCCAATATTTAGGATAACTCACAATTTTTATAAGAAAAATTTCAGATCATTTCTTGAACATGCATTTCTACAGTGAGTTGTTTCTCTGGAGTATATTGTCTATTGACCAGGCAGCTGACACTACTCTCATGAGTGATAGAGCCTTTGTAATTATTTCTTTAAAAAGTGATTTATGAGAGCAGAATGCCATCTGTGGAAATTGAACAGAAAAAGGTGGCTCCATACACTTGTATTGTAGTGAACAATTAAAGTGAGCCAATTACCACTGAATTTGATCAATTTTAATTCAAGTTTCTAGTTTCCACGATGATGCAGATGGTTCTTTCTGAAATATAAACCTGATGTCACTTCAGTACACCAATTTAGTGAATTTTAGTGAATTATTTTCAGCTTGAAACCAAAGCATATTAGCACATTATTTATCTAATTCCGATACATTTTTATCTCTTGTAATCCCCCCCTACCCTGGCGCCTTATTTATACACAATGAACACTCTGGAGTACCCTGAATATGCTTATAAAGATGCTTATAAATTTGTCTAGAATTTCCTTTTATCCTTTCTTTGTCCCAAACTCTCATTAAATCTTTAGAGTGTTACACAGAGGTCACCTTTATGCATCCATCCACTCAGCCACTCATTCAGCAAATATTAAGAGTATTGTATGTACAATAAAATAGGCGTTGTATAGGTTGAAGAGACAAGGCAAAGCCATCGATATCATAAAACTTACATGCTAGTGGAAACAGATAAACAAACAAAAATTAAATATGTCAAGTTCTAGGGTGGAAAAAATAAGATGAGGGATTATGGATAGAATAAGGTATTTTATACATATAAGCAGGGATGATCTTTCTGACGAGGTGACTTTTGTGCAGCAAACTGAATAAGGTGGGAGAACAGATAAATGCACTTCTTGGTAAAATCATCAGAGAGCAGTCAGTGCAAAGATATGGAAAATGCTTGACATGTTTAAGGAATAGGAAAGAAGCAAATGCAACTGGGGTGGAGTGAGCAATGGGACGGAAGTCGGAGAGGAAAGAAGCGATCACTTGGGATAGCCATGGTAAAACATTCGCCAACATTATCACACCAGCCTTCTCCAACTGTTGGAGTCTCTCTAACTTCAGGCAAGATATACCAAGTAATAGAAAGCCTTGTCTTTTGGCCCCAAGAGGAGATGGTGCTCTCCTGCAGGTCATGGACTCTTCCTCCTACTACACACTCAGCTTTTAACTGCCATCTTGTATTGCAACTCTTGCCACTATAACCATGCCCTTCATTTGCTGAACATTCATTAGTAAAGCATGATTATCTGCAAGGCATCTTTGTGAGTCTGTGGAAAAGCAAGAGTGTTTCTGATTTTTTTCTTAAGAATATTTATAATTAGTATTTTAATGAGATATTCTTTAAGGAAAATTGTGCTTAGTTTCATGTGAGTGATGGACATAAAATGCTACGGAAACTTAAGACAGGAGATTGACCCCTTGAACTGACTTACAAAGCAGGTGCGGGGAGAAGTAACAGCGTGTGGAGTGGAACCAGGAAGGCATGGAGGGAGAAATGGCTCTTTTAAACCAAAAAGGTTTGCATAGGTAGTTATCATAGAGAGATAGTCAAACACCCTGAATGGACTGTAAAATCCTGCAAGTCATGAAATGTATTGTATATGTTATTCTTCCAACTGTGAATGGACAATATCTCATCCAAAATATTAATTTGTACTCCTTTCACACCAGCCTGGCTCCCCTCCCTACAAATAATTCACTAGCTAGCTGTCAAAATTCTATGTAAAACAGAACTCATATTATGTCACTCCTTCCCATAATTAAAACCTTCTGTTGGTTCCCCTTTACACTGCAGTAAAAGTTCAGGATTCTTCGCTGAGTTTTCAAACTCTCCATGACCCAGCCCATGCCTACCAACTAGACTCTAAATTTCCATCACTCTTTTTTTCAACCATTATGCTTCTGCTAGACTGGCTTTCTTTGCTTTCATTAACTTAACCAAGCTTTGGGGAAACGTATGGCCTATTCACTAAACATAAACTTTCCTTTCCCAAAGAATGTTCTTTTCCTTTATGTTTTCAGGCCAAATCCTTTTTCTTTTTCATATTTCTGCTTAAATATTACCACTTGAGAGAGTTCTTTACAACAATCAAAATCAACCACCTAGTCACTTTCAGCCTATACCCTGTTTTAATTTCCTACATGGTAGCTTTAACTATTTGATTTTATCTTCTGTTGTTATTTTTATTCACACTTCGTAATAGAAGCAGCAGGAGAGCAAGAAATACTGTTATTGATAATCACTCTTTTCTCTTTGTTTGGAATAGGGTCTACTGCATAGAAAACATTCAAAAATATTTGTAGAGTAAATGAGCAAGTGTCAAATACATGAATGAATTGCATGGCACATAGTACTTAACAGGAAAGAGACAGAAAAGCGTTGATATGAAGAATTTCTAAAATCCTCATATGAAATGAGTAAAATTAAGGATAAATGACACTGGAAAACCAAAATGGTAAGTGAGGGTGGGTCCATGGGGAATTGTAAATAAGAGACTCATTTTAACTTCAGGTTATGAAGGTAGGTTATGATGCATACTTTTTTTGTTGTTGTCCTTACTTCTTTCATTGTTGATTTGAAGCAGTTTGCTAAACTCTGTAGGCTGAAAACTGAAAGAATGTACTTGTGAAAGACTCTGACCAATATTTTGGAGCAGTGATTCTGACATTATCCTTCAGCTGATTAGGAAAGATTCTTTGAATAAGGAAATATTTTCATATATCAACAATGCTAATTTAAGAGGCTGAATCAACAGGCCTGTGGGGAAATGAAAAAGAAACCTATTTTTTTCTTGTAATTTACTGTTCACACATTCTTTGTTATGTTTTAAAATCCACTGCACATTTCTAATTATAGAGTAATCTTTTCTAGCTCTGAAAATTTCACCTACTATTGTCTATCTTATGTGAGGCTTTGATCTTCTCAAAATACTAAAATCAGTACGAGAAAAAATCAGTAAAATTATTACCTAATAAGTCATGAACTGTTATAGCAGTGAAACCAGCCTCTTTTTTTGATTCTTTAATTCCAACATCTGTTTTGTATGTGATGGATTTATATGCATACTTGAAAACTGTTAAATTTGAATGTTTGTGAAGTTTTACAACTGACCTATGGTTAAGCCTTGTTAGGAGAAAGGTGGATCCCCTGTTGAGAGATAACATAAAGAGGGAGATCTGTCCTGTGCAGTGACTCGGTGCCTGTAATCCCAGAACTTTGGGAGGCCAAGGTTGGCGGATCACTTGAGGTCAGGAATTCGAGACCAGCATGGCCAACGTGGTGAAACTGCCTCTCTACTGAAAACACAAAAATTAGCTGGGCGTTGTGGCAGGCACCTGTAATCCCAGCTACTCGGGAGGCTGAGGCAGGAAAATGGCTTGAACCCTGGAGGTGGAGGTTGCAGTGAGCCAGGATCGCACCATTGCACTCCAGATTGAGCTACATAGTGAGAATCTGTCAAAAAAAAAGAAAAAAGAAAAAGAAAAAAAAAAAGAAGGAAAAGAAGGAGAAGGAGAAGAGTAGAAGAGTGACCCAGGAACATTTCAAGAAATGAACTTGACAGAGATTGATGTTGGGAAAATTGGAGATTTGAAAAAGTTATGGCATATGAAGGATGTAGTAGGTTTACACATGGTGTAAAAATGGGTCATAATTAGTGCTTAAAGATGTTTGTACCTGCAATGTGAGGAAGGCAGTAGTTTAGAATCTGAAATATGATTTACAAATCATTTTTGTTTATGAAATGGAAACTACAATCAGCATAACAGTGGACCATAAATCTAAGACTAGGTATGGGAAATAGGTAGTTTGGCTGGATAGGAATAAATTTCAGTACCCATAAAGGCTACAGAGATGGGAACTAGAGAAAAGCAAATCTCTGGTTTAGGTCAACATCAGAGGAGCTTAGGAAATGTGACTAATTGTCTTGAGGTTCAATAATATGCCTGGGCTTGATACAAATCAGAAAACCATGAGGAAGACCAATCATATTGGCCAAGTTGTTAGATACCAACTCCAAATCTCTATACTTATAAACTACTTTCAGTATAGACTGATATATGCTTTCTGAATATTAGTCTGGCAATAGGTATTAGAACTTCAAAAATAGATGTGCTTTTTGATGCAGTAATTCCACATTTTGGAATGTGCTCTTTATTTCGGTCCAGTATTAGAATGCAGAACATAAGATTTAAGGTACCACTGTATATCTAAACAATAGATAAATATTGTTCTGTGACCATTATTATAGAATTAATAGAAAT
This sequence comes from Homo sapiens, assembly GCF_000001405.40. NCBI lineage: Eukaryota > Metazoa > Chordata > Mammalia > Primates > Hominidae > Homo > Homo sapiens. The sequence goes on from NC_000005.10 coordinate 18,494,069, forward strand.
CAAATTTATATGTATAGAAAGTTTATTAGATATTCAAATTTCTATGTACAGAAAGTTTATTACATATTAAGCAATAATGCCAGTGAAAATCCAGATAAAATATAATAAAAGTCCTGTTTTCAAATTTGATTAATGGAAGAAAATAGTTAAATGGGATATTTTTAATAAGAATGCACAATAAATAGATACTGTGTTTTAACTAAAAATTATTTCTTTTAGGACAAGGTTCATTGGTTTGTGTACTCCATTTTTTGAGTTTAAACTACACAAGAAATGCAAAGCCTGATTTCCAATTTCAATGTTAATACCTCAAAGTATAAATAAACATTTTAAAGACATCTATGAAGCCAATCAGGAACATAATCCTATAGACTTATATAACCTTCTCCCATATTTTAATATTCCCTTACAAATACCTAATTTAGTAGCAATTTTATTGACTAAATTTATAAATGTATAACCAGTATTAACAATTTTTTACATTGTCAAAGTATTCTATTTGTATACATAGATTATGAATTTGCTATTTATATAAAATACATAATGGCAAATAAAAAGTGTAACTTTTATAGCCAGGTTTGAGAACGAACACAACTAATTTTTGGTAAGCATTCAACTGAACTAATAGGAGAAAATAACATAGGTGTAACAGAAGGAAAGCTACTACTAGACAGCTCATTAAGTATGTGTTGCAGAAGCCATACAGAACATCAGTTAATCTAAGCTTTGCTTAAATTTAAATAAATAGGAAGAGCTCACACTGAAACTGCTGTTTAATCCAAAATTAACATTAGCCTCCTCTGACTCTGAAGATGAGACAATATCATACAGTTGATGAAAAACCTTTCTATACTGCTTACCTTTATGTGATCATGCTTAGAAAATGGAGATTACTGAATACTAGCAAGTAAGACATAATAGTAGACATCTATTATAAGTAAAAGTGGTTGTTTCTACTTTCTTATCATTGTAATAGTCATAGAGTTTACAAGTAGAATTAATATTTATTGTCCTTTTCATGTTTCCTAAGATGGGATAATCACAAACTTTAGTTTAAAAAATTTTCTGTACAGATTTATTCATAAAAATGTGTTAAGGAAGAAGTAGGAGAAATAAAATGAAAGAAATGTGCATCAGTCTCTCTTCAACCACAAGAGCTTATTTAACCTTTTTGACCCTGTATGAAAAATGGATAACAAAAACTATATATAGCATGACTAGTAAGGTTAAACATTGTATTATATATAAGAGATGGTTCCAGTAATATGACTCACAAGACACTTGAAATGAGAAAAGCATTATTGATTTTTGAGAGTTCAGCTGTAAAATGTATGCATGGTAGAATGGAGAAGTAATGTCGAGTCACCTTAAAGAGATTAAATGTCTCTCAGGTCAGCAAAGTCTTACTGTAATATGATTTAATATCTTGAGAAAGTCAATGTCTTAATGAATCTAATGTATCAAGTAATGCTTCTCACATTTATGTAATGGATTAACCCCCTTAAAAACTCAAAATAACCAAAATAGGAAATAATACCCCAAAAACAATTAATGGGTATCCAGCATCATTATAATTATATTGTCAAATATATTTAAATCTAGGTTTTCTATAAATCAATTATGACTATAGTTCGTATTTTGAAAAACCAGGTGAAAAACAAAACAAAATAAAACAAACATGTTAAAAGTTGGTTTTTAAAGGATAGACAAACAATGCTATATTTGGTCCATCCAAGATGACACAGACTCATTTTTCCATGCTCCTCATTTCTAAGTACACCTATAATCCATAGAAATAATTCAAGAGATAACCAAAGGAGAATTCTGAAAAGTGAAGAGAGGACAGAAAATTGATGAGAGACTCAAATACTGGAGGGACAAAATCAAAGCAAGGCATCTTGAAATATTTTCTACTTTCTGAAGGTTAGTATGGCCAATGGAAGAAGGTGATGTAGTCCTACCATTCTCTGACATGTAATCTAGCAACAGAATGTAGTCTAGGTAGCTCATTTCTGTGCTGTACAGACAGATGTCCTGACAATAACATCAGGTTAGCCTGGCAGAATTAGCAAGGAAGACTGATTGCATGCTTTGCTGACAATAAGCAGCCAGTGAAGCATTCTCTTTTCCTGTCACATGTAAGACTCCTCTCTCTCATTCAGTGACACTGTACATCCAAGGCATAAGCAAGAATGATCTCATCTCTGCAAAGGTCCAGATCATAAGAAGTTCTTTGTCTCCCACAGGCAAGGGTGTATCCTGCCAGTAAAAGCAACAGCTAAGAAAGCACTTCTCATTTTTGCTGGCTAAAGACTCTTACTCCTCTTAGATGCAATGGCTGGTCTGGTCTGGAGAAGCTTCTGCTCTCTCAACCAGGATGGACATGCTCTCTCAACCAGGATGGACAGGGACCAGTAGTAGAACATAAATTACCCAGGTCAAACTAATACAATGGAGACTCTGAAATGTAACAACACCCCACAGAAATAGGCCATGACCTGAGTGAAAAAACTTAGCAGGATGAATGACTGCTGAGATTTTAAAATAAATGAATAGATAGGACTAAAAACTCCAAACATCATAGCTAAAATGTTCAGGGTATCACTGAAAATCATCCATCATACCAAAACCCAGGAACACTAGAACTTGAATTAGAAAAGACAATCAATTGCTGCCAACATTGAGATTAATCAGAGGTTAGAATGATCAGAGAAGGCCATTAAAGCAACTACCATAAAAATTATTCACCAAGATGTTATAGATTCTATTGAAACAAGTGAAAAAACTAGAAACTTCTGGGAAAAAATATATTATTTTTATAAATTATAGAACTAAAAATTACAAAAACAAAAATTTTCAAAAACTGGAATAAGCGGAGTCTCAGGAATTCCAGGAACCTAGGGGATAATGACAAAGATACAATGTTTGTACTACTCAAGTCACAGAAGTAGAAGAGGAAACAAGTAAGTCAGGAAGAGTATTGGAAGGGATAATCACTGAAAATATCTCAAATTTGGCACAATACATAAAATCACAGTTTTAAGAAGCTGAATGGACCGCAAATGAGAAAAATCCCCTGAAGTCTGCATTCACAAATACCATAATTAAACTTCTCAAAACTAAAAATCAAAGAAAAAATTGAAAACAACCAAAAAACCCAACATTTTATCTAGAGTTAAATACCAATTTAAATGGCTCATAGGACAGCAGATTTCTCTTTTGAAATTATGGAGATAAGTCAGCAGTGGTAGAGCATGTTTTAAGTGCTAAAAGTAAAGAACTACCAACCATATATTCTGTATCTGTTAAACTATCCTTCAAAAATGAAAGAGAAAAAAACAAATGAAATAAACCTAATCGAATTTGATGTAACCAAACCTACCTTTAAAGAATGGGTAAGGAAGTTCTTCAAACAGAAAAAAAAAATGGTTTAAAGAAGGAAGTCTTACATTATCAGAAGGGATGACAAACAATAGAATGAGAAAAAATGAGAGTGTACACAATAGACTATTATCTTCCTTATGCATTTTCTAAATCATATATAATGATTTAAATCTAAATTATAACATCATCTGATACCCAAGGTAATTGTATTTAAAAGTTTGGAAGGTGAAAGGACATAAATGGAAGTCAGGTTTTCACGTTTCATTTGAAATGGCAAATCCTGATACAAGTAGACTGTAATAAGCCCAATTCGTATGTTGTAATACCAGAGAATTACTAAAGGAACTCTACGAAGAGATTAACTCAAAAATTTTATAAGGAAATAAAAAAGGAATCTTAAAAAATGTTCAAGCAACCCACAGAAAAGCAAGAAAAGAGAAATGAGAAACAGAGAAAAACAGAAAGCAAATGATAAAATAATATACTTAATTCTTAATGTTGTGATGATTACCATAAGTATAAATGGTATAAATGCCACACAAAAAGAAAAAATTAGCAGAAAGGAGTTTTAAAAATTGGCTTTAGTATATATGGTGTTTACAAGAAACTCACTTTAAATTCAATGACATACATAGGCTAAAAATAAATATTAATTTCTGAAATTAGCAAGAATAGCTATATTAATATCAAACAAAGGTATAAAGCTAATGAAGTTTATCAATTTGTTTAAAATAATGAGATAGTATTATTTAGTAAAACCAATTTGCTTTTGTTGAAGCATGCTTATAATCAAGCGTGCTGTATAACTTAGGTATTCTAAAGCTTATATTCATTTTACAGATCACTGTTCCAAATGCCTATAGAATAGAGTAAGTTCATAAAGGAATCCATAGGGTGACAACTGGAGAGCACTTATTCATACAAATGAAGTAACCAATACTCAGTTCCAACATGTTTCCAAAATGAGAATGAGGGATGAGAACGAGAATGCTGTTACACAGTTCACACTTTCCAAAAATCTGTATTTTATTTGAAAATGTCTGATATCTAGATGTATACAACTAATTATTACTTTTTGCTATAGATTTATGTGACTCAAGCTAGAGGGAGGGCATATTTTTAAACCGTGGGCTACAGATTTCCCATTATGCTCTACTTGAACTACTGTCAGCCTTGAAGCTATTCAGCCTTCATTAGAAATAATGCTTCTATATGAAATAAGTGAACTGAATTTTCTTTTATGTTGTGTCCAAACTAAATATGTTATATACAATAAATGTAATGAGTTATGTATATATTAAAATTTGTATGGTAACAGTCTAGGTGAACAGAATGAAGTACGTATGTTTTTGTGATATGTGAGTCTCTGTTAAGGATGTTAGATTAGCAGAAAAATTAAAATGCAAATTTAAATAGAACCATAGAAAATGTGAATATTCTTGTAATATATTCTTGTATGGCTCTGGGATAAAATTTACTTTGAAATATTTAAACAATTAAATAATGTGTCAATCAGAACATGTGTCATGGAATCCTAGTAAAAAACACAGAAAGGTTAAGTGTGATTTATTTTTAGAGTTAAGATGATTCTTCATGTGAGTTCAATGAATTAATTTCTTTATGAGGTTATGTTTAACATTTAATTTATTTAAGTCTATCATTTTAATTTCATCCCAACAAGTCAGCAATTGGTTGGAATTTTGATTTCTGTGTAGATTTTTCTAGAGAATATGAAGACATTACATAAGTAATGTCTTCATATTCGAATGTGTGCTGTGCTTGTGATAGCACTTCTTATCGTTGTAGAACTGATGGCACAATTTCACTATAAAACTGTATGCTGATTTCAAGTGTCCCACCTGTTCCAGGAAAACATTGTGCCAGCTCCAACAATCAAAGCCGGTTTTTTATTTGGTCTTTTTAGTTCTCAAAGCCATTATAGTGTAGTTTAAAAGTAAAGATGTGAACTATATTCACTCATGGATTATTCACCAAAAGTTTTAGCACAATGTTAGCTCAGTCACAAAAATCAATGTCTTTCAGATATACGTGAAAAATAGATAGACACAGATATGTTATTACTTAAGTTGTCAGTTAGCCTTCATTAAAATGTAAGGAAAAAATAAAACATTTTATTAAATAAAGAGAAGTTCAAAGAATTAACAAACTGCTGGAATTCTCTTTCTGTCTGTATTCCAAGGCCAGGTACTTTGATCTTTAAGCCATTTGATAGCATATACTGACTATGGTCAAAGTTAGTTTAAAATTCTGAATTCACAATTTATTTTCTGTGTTAACATGAATTTTACACTTATCCTCTTTAAAATGCAGCTATTTCATCTGTAAAATAGGTGTGAGGATGAATCATCCCTAAGGTTTTAGAGAGAAAGTAAAAGATAATGAGAAAATGAGAAAAAACACATGGCATATTTCTTTTATATTTTATATACTCAAATTTATATTTTACATTTCAGTTTTGTTTGATATTACATTTATAGTTTACATTTAATTAACATATATTTACATATATGTTTACATGGTTTATGAATAACTCACTTTGATTTTTAAATATTCTGACTACATAATTTTTTTATTTTTATTTTAAATTCTCAGTATGTGCCACATCTTATTTTAGCTCACAGTTTTTTTTGCTTTAATAACAAAATTGACATTATAAAAGTATTGTTTATTTCTGTTTTATCTTGGCTATTCCTTGCATATTGCTTTGTAAATTTTATTTTTATTTGTATTTGTTCTATTTTTATAATTTTAAGAAGACATTTAAGTGCTTTCCTAAGCAAAACCTGGTAAAAATAAAAAAGTATTGAGTTTTTAAAATAAAATATATTAAGTAATTGGCCAGGCCCAAGCTTAAAATAAATATTGAAAGTGACCAAAAAGTCTTTAAAATGTGCTTTACATCAACAAGATATAAAATGTTTTCTATACACATATCATAATAAAACCAATATAATTTGATCTTGTTATAAACCCCAAATATATTAAATTGTTAATGTTCTTGTGATTATGAAATTTTTTTATAAAAGCAAAAAATCTAAATGATTTTCTTAAAAATAAGGATAGTATGTGTATTAATAAAATGGAGTTTTAGTAAAACAACTTAAAATTATAAATCATTATTGTGGTCACAGAGGTATTGAAAATGATTTTTCTTTATATGTTATTTTAATTATAAACGTATTTTGCTCTAAAACATAAAAAGTTTCCTTTTGAACATATATGTAGTGGTTTAGGAATACTGCTCATTCATGTATGCCTATGGAGTAAACACTGTCATCTTTATTTTAATATTTTCTGAAGTAGTATCTTATTTTGTTCTATAGTGCACCTATTAGATACTGCCAAAATTATTTTCAGAACAGATGTTCCCGCGGGAATTATATTACCTTATTAGGAGGAATTCTCTTTCTGTCTGTATCCATGGCCATTTACTTTGATCTCTAAGCCATTTGATAGCATCTGTTTTTGATGCAGATGAAAAAAATCTCAAAGACTTGTGACATGAAAGAGTATTACAGCTTTAGAAAAGGAAACCATATGATCAGATAGATAGCAATAACAGAAATTTTTCAAATAGAAATTCAGATGTATTCAGTATATAGATTTAAAAAGTATACTTAACATGTCTTTGAAATTAGAAGGGTTGATAAAGATGCATTATTTTGGTAATTATAAGTATAATATATGTTTAGTGTTACAGTTTACAGATAAAATATATTTGATTTTGAGATTATATTGATTAACTTCAAACATTAAATTTTGCCCAAAACACACAGACATTAGTCCTTTCTTAATATAGCAAATAAGGGATAAGTTGAGCATGTTTTAATCAATATTATTTGTTAACAAAAATTCAGAATGGCATCACATCATTTCACAAACTCAAGTGGTAAAGAAATGGCAAAGTCAGTTCAATATAATGTGTATATTCTTAATTATATGTCTTGGGTTTTTATTTCTTCCACTAGGACAACTCACAAGTTATTGATTTACATATGAAGATATATTTCTAGTTAGCCTGTGATCCCTAATTTTAACTGCCTGTCACTCATAAAATCTTAGTCATTTTAATTTTATTTAGATACCAATGTGTACAGATCAAGAGGAACATAATCTAAAAACACTATGTAACAATGTGTTTGAATTATGTGAAGCCAAAATATAGACACAGGATTATATATCTTCTCTCCCAAACTTCACAAAATCTTTTCTCCCAAAAAACCAAACTTCAGCTATGACAACAGATAAACAGTCTCCTATACAAAGATATAGCAGTTCCACTGTGTCTTTTTTTTTTTTTTTTTTTTTGAGATGGAGTCTCGCTCTGTCGCCCAGGCTGGAGTGCAATGGTGTGATCTCAGCTCACTGCAACCTCTGCCTCCCGGGTTCAAACGATTCTCCTGCCTCAGCCTCCCAAGTAGCTGGGATTACAGGCACCTGCCACCGTGCACAGCTAATTTTTGTATTTTTAGTAGAGACAGGGTTTCACCATGTTGGCCAGGCTGGTCTCGAACTCCTGACCTCATGAATCCGCCCACCTTGGCCTCCCAAAGTGCTGGGATTACCAGCGTGAGCCACAGCTCCTGGCCCCCACTGTGTCTTTTAATGGTTTGAATACATCTACAGCATGGAGTTTACTAAGGAACAGCAAATTTCAATATGGACCTCATACATACTATTTTGTTTCATGAAGAGATTAATTGGAATTAAGATGCCATTTTTAGTAAATAGTTAAATAAACTGAGAATTTAGGCTAGAGAAGAAAAGATTGGGAGTTTGGATGTGATTATATTATTTTCCAATACTTGAAACTTTGTAATCTAGGAGAGATTGCACGCTACACCGCTAATGCGCAATTGTCACGCTGGGTTCCACTGGAGGCAACTCTCCAACCAAGACTTTCTCAGAACTCTACTGCAGTGCGTGGCTCTTCCTATGTAATCCTCTTTCCTTTTGTCCTGGCACAGGTTTCAGACCTGCATTCTGGTCTGAAGCTCTCCTTGTTTATCCCCATTCCCTCTTGCTTTCATTGTTCGCAAGAATTTATCCCAATAAATCTCTTGCACATCTCACTACATTTTACGTCTGCTTACCAGAGAAACAAAACACATGCAGAGAATAATTCAATAAATGACTATGGAGTGAAAGAATGAATGAATGAAACACTTTGGCTTTCACTTCAAATTGTTTAATGTATTTTAAATCACCTCTGCTTCCCCGTTTCTATTCTGATGAGAGCTACCATCATCTATCACCTGGGTTAATTTAATGACTCCTTAACTGGATTCTCTGCTTCTATGTTTGCCCCATCTTCCCCATCTTAATCTATTCATTAATAGCGGCAGAAAGTCCTTTAATATTAAACTTACAATATCTCCCCAATTTACCCCCAGCAAAAGTCAAGGTCAGTAAAAAGACTATAAAATCTTACATGATCTGCCTTCTTTCACCTCCAACTTATTATATCCTGCTGCCTGCTGCATTTTTACTCCACTCCAGTTATCCTGGCCCATTTGTTCTTTCTGGAACATATCAGATAAGATACTACCTTAGGTGTCTTGCACTGCTATCTCTTCTTACTGGAACTCCCTTCCTCCAAATAGCCACATGGATGATGCATTTAACTTTTAAAAAAGTTTTTGTTAAAAAATCATCTTCTCAAATAGGTCAATACAAAGCAGCATAATAAAATTCTACCAGCTTACACATTCCTGATTCCCCTGACATTGCTCTAGATTTATCTTATTCCATTGTGTTTTAAAATGTACCTGGGGTTTTGTTTTTATTCAGGTATGATAAGACCAAGATATCAGGAGACAACTGGCATGGAAAAGATAATCTGGTGCAGATCCCAAGAGAGGGAGGCACACTACATCACTCAGAGTGACAAGGAGAGGTACCAGGGTTAGCCGAGAGGCAATGAGAACAAGAAAAAGGCATGGGTTGGAGCCTTTATTGTCGTTTCAGGGGAAAGTCATGGCAAGCAGGTTTAAGATTGGCTGGTTTGAATAATTTCAGCAGACTCTGGGACATAGGGACTGTCTCTAGTAATGTGTTATCAGTGCCTGGGACAGTTATGGTAGAGGAATATTGTCTCCTGAAGTGTAAGAGCCAGATAGAGAAAGTGGTTCAAAATATGGGGTCTGAATCGGTTAGTTTGCATATAAAAACCACTCACTACTGGGCAAGTTGTTTGCTATCTCTCAAAACTAGATAACCCTGGGAAGAAGAGTCAGTCCCTCTCCTGGTGTCTAAGGCCCCAAGACAGCAAAGCATAATAAAATACAGAAAATTGTAAAATGATTAATACACATGACATTATGATTTTAAATTTTATATAAACTACTTATTTATTACCTTTATTATTAATTGTTTCTCCCTATTAATATGAAGCAGGAAAGATAGTCAAGGAAGTAGTCACGTCCTTAGGATGCGGCAACCTTGGTGACCTCACCATCAACACAATAAGCCCCAGCATTCGCATTGCAATCAAGTACATTCAAGCAAAGCTATCTTCAGTAGGGAATTTCTGCATAGAAAACATGTGCATTTTTATTTTACCTGTCCTCTGACTGACCCTTTGCTCATTATACTAGTAAAAACCACATGCCTGGGTAGAGATTTAAGATGCAAATGAAGCATGTGATGTATGAACAAACATGTGCAGCTACTGTGCATGTTCACCCAGAACACCACCCAGAACATGCTTACTAATAACACCTCTTCCCACCCTCTTATGAATAATCATATAAGACTCCCATAAAGGGAATCTCTCTAGGGCCAGTCTTTGCAGTCTCATCCTCATGAGCAGTCCTCCCTGAATCCTCTCTCAGGGTTTACTGTCTATTCTGCGCCTAATTTTAAAAATATTCTTTCTCTTTTGCAATAATATGCTCTATGCTGTATCTCTTTTGCTGTATTATCTCCTGTTTAAATTATTTTAAATTAAGAAGACAAGAACCAGGGTTTCACAACAGCCATCAACAAATATAAACTGTATGAAATCAAGGAAATTTGTTTTGTGATATAGTCCAAATACCTGAAATAGTTTTAGCACATAATAATTGCTCAATAAATACGTGTCAAACTGTCTTATTAATTTACAATTTAAAACTTCCTTGCTATTTCTACTGTTATAATATACATTATTTATTCCTCTACAGTGGATCACTTTATTTACTCAACTAGATAGACTGTCTCAAAGTAAAGCTCCAAATCCCATTATATTTGAATAGCTATTCCAGTAAATGTAATTATATGGAGTCTAGTTAAATTGGGTGCAAAACAATTCATGAGCAAATTATAGTACTAAAAGTGTTCTTCCTGTTACTATAAATATATAATCATTATTCCACTTTTCTTTCAAGTTGATTGTCTCTCCTGAGGTTTGCGAGACAAATTTACATATTTGTCTTTTATGTTAATCTCTTGAGGTAAACTCTACAAAGGCTATTAGAATTGAAAAAAGTCCTCTGATTAATTGTTTCTGATGTTGAACAATTAGCAGAAACCAATCATTTGCATTTTAATAACATTGTAACCATATGTTAAGTGAATGCATTAATCTTGATTAGCTTGGTTCCAGATATTTGCATTTGGGAGTTACTGATGTGTACACTGATAGAGAGATTTTTCAAGTCACGTATAGCTGTAATATCTGTAGCAAAAAGTAACTGAAAAGAATGATGCAAGCATAACTATTGTGCTGATCGAGTGTACAAAAGAAAAACAGAAAGTATTGCTGAAGAAAAAAAACTGGGGTAAAAATTAGCTAATTCAAACTAGAAAAGGCAGCAATTTCATCTTCTATATTACACAAAATGTAATATAAATCAATGTATAATTTACTTGGCCAATTACTAATGCCACAATACTATTTTGGGCTCTTTTGACTTTAAAAAAATATGAAATGTACAATTGTAACCAAAATATTGCCCGTAAGACCTGTGAGAAAAAAGTAAAATCATTCAATGATTATTATAATGAAGATTAAAGCAGTCATTTTATAGGTTCACATCTTACAAATTTCACTTCTTCTAAATGTTCCCTTTGTGCCTCCATTGCTGTAAAAACAGTTTTTTTTCTTTCTGTAATTCTAGTAAAATGAGTTTCCACTGATCTTGAAGTTGTACTCACTTGCTAGAGATAGGCATATTTATAATTATGTGTATAAATTCTCTTTTAAAGAACAAAAATTATCTCTCTCTTTTTAAACAACAACAACAAAATAAACTCAGGTAGCATCCTACTTAATAGTGCACATATTGAATAATCTCTGAAGAGGAATAAAGGTAAGAATTCTCAGTCTCCTTACTTATGGTGAAAATGTTACTTGAAGACCTACCAATAATATTAAGAATAGATAGAAAAATGTAGTTTGCTTAAAGGTCATAATTAAAGAAGTAAAACACTCGATGTTTGCACATAATATCATATCATAAATAAACTATAGTCATAAGCCGAATAACATTTCCATCAATGACAGACAGCATATACATTTGTGGTTCCATAACTTTTGCCTAGTGACGCCTTAGTCAACTTAATTATAGCATGCAGCATTACCCACCTGCTTATGGTGATCTTGGTGTAACAAACCTATTATACTGCAAGTCATGTAAGAGTATAGCACATACAATTATGTGTAGTGCAAAATACTTGATAATAAGTGACTAGGTAACCGGCTTTATGTATTTACTATATTATATATGTTGTCCTTATTTTAGAGTATACTCCTTCTACTTATTAAAAAAATTATCTGTGAAATAGCCCCAAGCAGGTCCTTCAGGAGTATTTCAGAAGAAGGAATTGTTATGAGAGATGACAGATCCATGTGTGTTACTACCCTAGAAGACCTTCCAGTGAGACAACATGTGGAAATGGAAGACAGTGATATCGATGATCCTGACCTTGTGTAGGCAGAGGCTAATGCTAATGTGTGCTTATGTTTCAGTTTTTAACAAAAAAGTGTAACAAGCAAAAATGAAAAATTTTAAAATAGAAAAAAGGAGACAGAATAAGGATATAAACAACGAAAACATTCAGTGCCCTATACAGATGTATGATATTTTATCTTTTATACCATTCTTTTACAGAACACTATATCACTCATCAATAAAAATGCATTCTGGTTCTGGGAACACTGGCTCATGCCTGTAGTCCCAACACTTTGGGAGGCCAAGGAGGGAGGATCACTTGAGATCAGGAGTTCAAGACTAGCTGGGGCAACATAGCAATACCATATCTCTATAAAAGGTTTAAAAAAAAAAAAGCCAGTTGTGGTGGCATGTGCCTGCAGTCCTAGCTAATCAAGAGGCTGAAGTGAGAGTATGACTTGATCCCTGAGAAGTCGAGGCTGCAGTGAGCCATTATTGTGCCACTGCACTCCACCCTGGGTGACAGAGCAAGATCCTGTCTCTAATAATAATAATAGTAACAATAATAATGTAAAAAATAAAATATTTAAAGTATTTTTCAGTGTTGCATATGGAAACCTGAAAACAAATTCTGAGAAATGCATTGTAAGGCACTGTTATCATTGTTCAAACATCAGAGAGCACCTACGCAAACCTAGATGGCATAGCTTTCTGCAGCACACCTAGGCTATATGGTGTAGCATATTTCTCCTAGACAAACCTGTACAGCAGGTTACTGTACTGAATACTGTAAGCATCTCAAGCAACATGGTAAATATTTGTGTATTTAAACATAGAGAAACACAGGAAAGTTACAGTAAAACTAGAATAAGAGATAAAAAAAAATGGTACACCTGTATTGCCACTTACAATGGCTATACAGGTAAGACATGGAGCTCTCAGAACTGGAAGTTCCTCTGGGTGAGTCAGTGAGTTGGTGGTGAGTAAACGTGAAGGCCTAGGGCATTACTGTACACTACTGTAGACTTTATAAACACCATTAAACTACACTAAATTCTTCTAAAAATTTTTTCTTAGGCAGCTAGAGAGAAGATGCAGGTCACCTACAAAGGGAATCCCATCAGGCTAACAGCAAATCTCTAAGAAGAAACCCTATGAACCAGAGAAGATTGGGAGCCTATATTCAGTATTCTTAAAGAAAGAAATTTCCAATCAATAATTTCATATCTAGCCAAACTAAGCTTTAAAAAAAAAAAGAAATACAATCCTTTCTCAAACAAACAAATGCTAAAAGAACTTATTACCACCAGACCTACCTTACAAGAGGTATTGAAGGAGTGCTAAACATAGAAAGAAAAGACCAATACTGGCCACTACAAAAACACATTAAGCACACAGACCTGTGAAACTATAAAGCAACCACACAAACAAGTCTGCATAATAATCAGCTAACAATGCAATGACAGGACCAAATCCACACATAGCAATACTAACCTTGAATGTAAACAGGCTAAATGTCCCAATTAAAAGACACAAGTGGCAAACCGGATAAAGAAGAAAGACCCAATGGTATGGTGTCTTCAAGAGACCAATCTCACATGCAGTGCTCATAGGCTCAAAGAAAAGGGATGGAAAAAAATCTACCACATAAACAGGAAACAGAAAAAAAGCATGGGTTGCTATTCTAATTTTATACAAAATATATTTTAAACCAACAAAAATCAAAAGAGACAAAACCGTTACGTAATGGTAAAGGGCTCAATTCAACAAGAAGACCTAACTTGCCTAAATATATGATCACTCAACACAGGAGTACTCAGATTCATAAACCAAGTTGTTAGAGGCCTATAAAGAGCTTTATATAACCATATCATAATAGTTGGAGACTTCAACATTCCACTGACAGTATTAGAGAGATCATCAAGGCAGAAAACTAACAAAGATATTCTGGACCTGCACTTGACACTTGATCAAATGAATCTAACAGACATCTATAAAACTCTCCATCCAAAAACAACAGAATATACATTCTTTTCATTTGCACATGGCATTCACTCTAAAACTGCACACATGATTGACCATAAAACAATTCTCAGCAAATTCTGAAAAATCAAAATCATACCAACCACACTGTCAGACCACAGCACAACAAAAGTAGAAATCAGTACTAAGAAAATTGCTTAAACCATACAACTACATGGAAATTAAACAATCTGCTCCTGAATGACTTTTGCGTAGATAATAAAATTAAGGTAAAAATCAAAAAATTTTTTGAGACTAATGAGAACAAAGATACAACATACCAGGTTTTGTGGGACACAGCTAATGCAGTGTTAAGGAGCAAGTTTGTAGCACTACACCCTCATAACAAAAAAATTGAAAGATCTCAAATTAACAACCTAACGTTTCACCTAGAGAAACAAGAGCAACCTCAAAGCTAGCAGAAGACAATAACCAAAATTGAAAGGAAATGGAGATACAAAATCCCATACAAAAGATCAACAAATTCTTACTTTCTTATTTGAAAGAAGTATTAAGATAAGCAGATAATTAGCTGGACTAATAAAGATAAAAAATAGAGAAGATTCAAATAACACAATCAGAAATGACATTGTTGCAGCACTGTTTACAATAGCTAAGATTTGGAAGCAACCTAAGTGTCCATCAACAGATGAATGGATAAAGAAATTACACATACACATGATGGAGTACTATTTGGCTATTGATAAGAATGAGATCCAGTCATTTGCAACAACAAGATGGAACTGAAGGTCATTATGTTTAGTGAAATAAGCAACATTTCACACAGAAAGACAAACATTGCATGTTCTCACTTATTTGTGAGTTCTAAAAGTCAAAACAATTGTAGTCATGGACATACAGAGTGGAAGAATGGTTACCAGAGGTTGGGAGGGGAAATGGGGCATTGTGTGGGGGGGGGGGGGGATGATTAATGGGTACAAAGAAATAGAAAGAGTGAATGACACCTACTATTTTATAGCACAATAAAGTGATTACAGTAAATAATAACCAAATTATATAATTTTAAATGACTTAAAAATGTAATTGGATTGCTCGTAACTCAAAGGATAAATGCTGGAGGGGATGGATACTCTATTCTACCTGATGTGCTTATTTCACACTGTATGCCTGTATCACACCATCTTATGTACCTCAAAAATATATACAGTGACTATGTACCCACAAAAATTTTGAAAAATAAAAACAAGAAATTAAAAGAAATGACTAAAGGAAAATTACCGCTGACCCCCAGAAACACAAAAAATCTTAACAGATGACTATAAGCATGTTCTCTATGCACACAAACTAGAAAACCTAGAAATGGACAAATTTCTGGAAACATACATCTTTACAAGATTGAGCCAGGAAGAAATTGAATCCCTGAACACACCAGTAACAATTTCCAAAACTGAATCACTAATAAAAAGCATACCAACCAGAAAAAGCTGAGAACCAGAAGGATTTACAGCCAAATTCTGCCAGATGTATAAAGAAGAGCTGGTACTATTCCTACTGAAACAACTCCAAAATATTGAAAAGGAGAAACTCCTCTCTAACTCATTCTATGAGGCCAACATCATCCTGATACCAAAACCTGGCAGAAATACAACAAAGAAAGTAAACTTCAGGCCAATATCCTTGATGAACATTGATGCAAAAATCCTCAACAAAATACTAGCAAACCAAATCCAGCATCACATCAAAAAGCTAATCCACCACAATCAAGCAGGATTTATTCCTGAAATTCAAAGTTGGTTCAACATATGCAAATCAATACATATGATTCATCACATAAACAGAATAAAAACAAAAGCCACATGATTATCTCAAAAGATGCTGAAAAGGTTTTCAATAAAATTTCAATAAAATTCAACACCCCTTAATGTTAAAAACCCTTGTAATAGAATGGTTTATATTCCTTTGGGTATACATGCAAGGGTATATTCATTGTAGCACTATTCACAATAGCAAAGACATGGAATCGATCCAAATGCCCATCACTGATAGACTGGATAAAGAAAATGTGGCACATATACACCATGGAATACTATGCAGCCATAAAAAGGAATGAAATTATGTCCTTTGCAGGGACACGAATCGAACTGGAAGCCATTATCCTCAGCAAATTAACACATCAACAAAAAAGCAAACACTGCATGTTCTCCCTTATAAGTGGGAGGTGAATAGTGAGAACACATGGACACAGGGAGGGGAACATCACAAACTGGAGCCTGTCAGCAGGTGGGGCAGGGGGAGTGAGAGCATTAGGAAAAATAGCTAATGCATGTCGGGCTTAACCCCTAGGTGATAGGTTCATAGGTGCAGCAAACCACCATGGCACACGTTTACCTATGTAACAAACCTGCACATCCTGCATATGTGCCCTGGAAATTAAAATTAAAATTAAAATTAAAAAAAAACAAACCTTTAACAAACTGGCAAAGACTTAGTGAGGAAGACTTCAAAAGCAATTGCAACAAAAATGAAAATTGACAAGCAGGACCTAATTAAACTAAAGAGCTTCTACACAGCAAAATAAACTATCAACAAAATAAACAGACAGCTGACAGGATGGTAGAAAATATTTGAAAACTATGCATGTGACAAAAGTCTAATATCTAGCATCTGTAAGAAACTTAAACAATTTACCAAACAAAAAATTAACAATCCCATTAAAAAGTGGGCAAAAGACATGAACAGACATTTCTTGAAAGAAGACATACATGTGACCAATAAGCATATGAAAAAATGCTCAATTATTAATCAGTAGGGAAAAGAAAATCAAAACCACATGAGATACCATCTCATACCAGTCAGAATGACTATTGTTAAAAAGTCAAAAAATAACAGATGCTGGTGAGGTTGTGGAGAAAAGGGGACACTTACACACTGCTGGTAGAATGTACATTAGTTCAGTCACCATGAAGAGCAGTTTAATGATTTCTCAAAGAAATTAAAACAGAACTACCGTTTGACCTAGCAATCCCATTACTGGGTATATACCCAAAGGAATATAAATCGTTCTACCATAAAGACACATGCACTCATAAGTTCATAGCATCACTACTCACAATAGCAAAGATATGGAATCAACCCAGATGTCCAACATAGATGGAATGGATTAAGAAAATGTGGTACATATACTTCATGGAATCCTGCACAGCCGTAAGAATGAAATCATGTCTTTGCAGCAACATGGATGTAGCTGAAGGCCATTATCCTAACCTAATTAAAGCAGGAATAGAAAACCAAATACTTCATATTCTCACGTATAAGTGGAACTAAACATTGAGTATATATAGACACAAAAATGGAACAATAGGAACTAGAGCCTACTTGAAGATGGAGGGTGAGAGGACAGTGAGAATTGAAAAAGTACCTATTGGGTATATGCAGATTACCTGAGTTACAAAATTATCTGTAGACCAAACCCCTGTGACATGCAATTTACCAATATAACAAACCTGCACACATAACCCCTTAGCCTAACATAAAAATTGGAAAGAAACATAAAATTTAATATTTAATATACTTTAGGCATTTGCTTTATTTAAAAAATTTATAGAATGAAATATGCACTTTACTATTAGAACCTTATAAAATATTGATCCTTTTAGAAATAAGATATAATTGTCCATTTTAATTACCTTTTGATCTCTCATGAAATAACCATGTCTTTTATTTTTGTTGTTAGCATTTTCATGGTGTAATTTAAATATTTCTTACAGTCAACCATTCTGTAGACTTTATTGAAGCCATAGTTTCTTAAAAGTAGTAGCTGAAGTTATTTCTGTTATGATTGTGTTTTTACCCAGTTGTCTGGCTTTTTTAAAAATTACAGTCAATTATATATAACATAAAAATTTCCAATTTTACCAGTTTTAAGTGTGCAACTGAGTGCCATTAATTATGTTTGTAGTATTGTGCAAACATCACCACTATTTCTATAATTTTTTCATCGCCTCAAACAGAAAATCTGTACAAAGTAGGCAGTAAGTTTTCTTTCCCCCTTCTCTCTCGAACCTTGGTAACTAATATAGTTTCTGTCTCCATAAGTTTGCCTACTTTAGATATTTCAGTGCCCTGCACAATAGCTCATGTCTAAAATCCCAGCACTTTGGGAGACTGAGACAGGAGAATCGTTTGAGGCTAGGAGTCTGAGACCAAGTCAGGCAACATAGTGAGTCTATATGTCTACAAGAGACTTTTTTTTTTAATTAGCTGGGCAGGGTGGCAAATGCCTGTGGTCTCAGCTACTCAGGGGGTGAGGTGGGAGGATCATTTGAGGCAAGGGGTTGAGGTTGTAGTGAGCCATAATCTTGCCACTTCACTCTAGTCTGGGTGACAGACTGAGACACTGTCTCAAAAAAAAAAAAAAAAAAAGATATGTCGTATAAGTGGAATCATAATAATTTCTCCTTTCTGCCTGATTTTACTTGGCATGTTTTCAAGGTGCATCCATATTGTAGCTCGTATCAGAACTTCCTTCTTATGTCTCAATAATGAGTGTTTGTTTTTAATTGAGAAATTTAATAAGATCATATTAACTTTGAAAATAACTATTGTGGCCTTATTGATAATAAGTACTTTAGTATAGCTTTTCTTCTGCTGTATGGTTGGTGACAACTGTTATTTTTACTGACGTTCTGTTTTGCATGTGTTGCATTAAGGATTCTCTTAGTTTATTTTTCATATTCACCTCTATACCTTAGATATCGCCACTCGTTTGTCCTTTACTGGCTACTGTCCTCACTAATATTCTAGTATTATGATGGCTTTTTTTTTATCCTGACATTGCTTCAATTATTTCTTTGAATCTTGCCAAAAGAGATATGTTCATAAGACTACCTTACTGAAGAAACAATTACTATATTAAAAACTCTATTAAAATTTTTATCTTTACATAGTTTTTTAAGTTATAGGACAATCAGTTATATATTATGTGGATTTTTTCTAATTAGCATTTCTCATTCACTAAGGCTTCCATATCTTTCCAAATGCTGCTGCTGATTTGTTCACATAGAAGCCTATTCATCATCCTGCAAGATGAAGTTGGATATCTTTCACCGTCTTTTTGAAGTCATCATCAGTTTTCCTCTCCTACCCCCAGGCATGAGTTTTGTATCACTTACATTTATGCTCCACAATGGGAATATTGATTTGGCCCAAATAAGACATTCAACAAATTCTTAATGAGTGGATCAATGAAGATTCCTGCAAACAAAATCCAGGGAAATCCTTGAGTTGCACAGTGGATTGTCCATTTCTCTTGTATTCATTTTCCTAAGCTCTGTCAACAAGCAGGAATAAACTCAATCTTAGCAAGTTTTAAGTGACAAATAAAACCATCCTAATTTATGCAAAAGGGTCATTGTACTTGGGTCCTAAGAGTGGTACAAAATCCCCTGCTTCTCTGCTTTTGTGGAAAACATTAATTCTGATGTCTAAATAGCCTTTCCCAAATCACTTGCTGAAAGTGTGACTCTGAAAAACTCATATAGTCATTCTCATTTCTGTTTTCTCTTCAGCAAAAAAATGAGAAATATTTCTATATTTTATTGGGATTGAAATGTAGTATCGATATTATATTTACTGGAATTTTTTGAAATGCAGGAATTCCTTGTATATTTTAGATATGTTTGATGGCATGTGAAATTGTATGTATTTTCTCAGCCTGATATTTTTTGTTCCTTTTCATAATATTTTATATTTTCTTTCTAATACTGACTGTTCATATCTCTTATAGAACCTTCCATTAATTATTTCTCTTCCTTTCAGAGTACTGCCTCTAATTGTGCTTTGCATTTCAAAAAGCAGATCTTTTTTCACTAAACATAGTAAGGCCTGTGTGTCTGATAGTATCTTTACTGACTTTCTCATTTCAATAAAAGTTTGGCATACAAAAAAACTAGGTTTAAAATTAATTTTCATTATTACTTTACATGTATTCCTCATTTCTCATATTTAGTGAGTGACTCAATCAAATTAGAAATAGGTATTTTCAAAGTTACTATTGAAATGTGTGATGTGAATAAGATTCCTCTGCAGGCTACACACTTTCTGGAATCTTTTTACAGTTTAGCTTTTAAAATTTCCATCTTAAGAGTATAGTTATTCATTTTTCTCATTTATTCTGTTTGGCACTCTTTGAGCTCTTTGAATTGGAGGACTTTTATCTTTTGTTAGTTCTGGAACTAATGTGTCATTTTTAATCCAAATATTTCTATTTTTTTCTCTCATTTGTTTGGCTATTAGTTTATTTTGTTAATTTGGCCTTTTAACTATTTTATATCACTCAGCATTTTCTTTTATAAGTATTTTCCCTAGCTTAACTACTTCCTTCTGACTATAAAAATGTTTGTGGACTTGCCTTCCAGCTTGCTGTTTGTCTTTAATCATTTCAATTTTGCTGTTTATATTTTTCTTTTTTCCTTTTGTTAAAAAAATTAATGAGACAAAATACATACACAATACATATATATGCATGCATATATGCATACATGTTATGTTATCATATCAGTTTATTGTTTCTAATATACACACACATGCACAAACATAATTTTTTATTTCCATTTTAAGGTAACAATATCCTCCCTTAAATTTTCAAGACTGCTTATGAGATTTTAGGTATATTATTAAAGAAGTCCTGTGATATTTTGGGATGAGATCTTGTCTATTTTCATGGGTTTGCTCTCAAATTTGTAGTTGGTATACAATTTTCTTTTGGAAATATTCTAACATAATATTATTACCTCTATAGCACTGTTACCATGTATCAAATTTTGAATTCTAATAAACAGGAGAGCAACCAAAAGTGATTTGATAAAAGCATAAAGATTTTAAATATTTTATCTAGAATCATGTGACATTTTGTTTGTTCCTTGATCCTGTTGAAGAAACATCACCATCACAAGTGATGGAAGAGTAGTAATTTTTATATGCTGTACAAAGGTTGAAGTCAAGTCACCTGGTACTTGCATAAAATTATTATAATGTGAGGCCAAACTTCTGTTTTTGTGATTGTGGTAGGGAGGAAAATATAAAGCAGGTGGCCAACTCTGTTTGCAAATTATTCTTTGAGAATATTTTAATTTTTTAAAGAAAACAAATTTATTCCCCTAAGATATCATGTATGCATCAGATGTAACTTTGAACAATTCCAA
This sequence comes from Homo sapiens, assembly GCF_000001405.40. Taxonomy (NCBI): domain Eukaryota; kingdom Metazoa; phylum Chordata; class Mammalia; order Primates; family Hominidae; genus Homo; species Homo sapiens. The sequence goes on from NC_000005.10 coordinate 18,515,532, forward strand.
GAAGCCAGAGTGAATGGTTTTGGCCATCATCCCATGTATGATAGAACAGATTAACTGTCAAGCCACTAGCCATCAGGAGAAAAGAGTACTAAGAAGACAGGTGAAAAGCAGGTAAGTCCTACCCAAGCTCCCTTCTCCTCTCCACAGCATAAATGCTACCACTACCACCTATCCAGGACCTACAAAGAATTTACTTATAATAATTTGGAGGAGAATACTTCATTCAGTAGCTTCTGACACTTTGAAAAGGATCAGGGAGGAGATCATGATAATCTCAGTGCCATATTCATAAACCAATCCTGGAGTGCTGGAGATGCAATGACTTGTTATACTACCACTCTTACAAATAAACCTACTAAAGCTATTACAGGATAGAAGTCTGGGGAGCCCTATGAAAACACTTATTGTCTAAAAAAAAGCCATTACAGTCAATACCTTCATGTGTGTTATCAGTCAAATCTTTCAAAGAGAGTAAGCACCCAGTCCTTATAAATAGATACGGTCAACAAGGAAGCGATGCCTTGGTGGCACTCATTTTGGGTTAAAATGTTGAATAAATAGCTGCCTTTTTATTTTTAGAAACATATAAATTTAGTAAAAGTAGTTACAAATACAGACTAAATTGGCAAATTTAATTGTATTTGGTTTTCTAGAAATAAATATTAAAATCTATAAATAAAAACTGTCACCACAGCCAAGAGATTTACCTCCAATTTTCCTTCAAATTTACCTTCAAATTTTCCTCATACTCCCTTATAATCCTTGTTTCCTGTCTTTTCCTATCTCCCTCATCTTTAAGAAACCACTGATCTGCTTTCTGTCACCATAGATTAGTTTGCAGTTTTCGAATTTTATGTAAATGAGGTCATAGATTATGTTTTCCTTTTTTGTCTCCTTTCACTCAGCATAGTTATACTGAAATTCATTCATGTTACATTGTGTATCAATTTTTTATTGTCAAGTGGTATTCCATTATATGGGTATAAGACAATTTGTTCATTTGTTCTTTTGATTGACATTTAGGTTGTTTCCACTGACTGGCTATTGCAAATAAAGCTACTAAAAAGTTTCACGTACAAGCCTTTGTATGAACATGCACAGAAACCCTCTCAAGGCAATAACAGGATTCCCCTTATTTGCTTCCCTTCTCTAATGAATTCTTCCTTGATGTCTAGATCTTGAAAACCATTTCTTTGTCTATTTTGTTGTTGTTTCATAAAATCAAAGGGTAAATCTGATCTCTTTTACTTGATTTTTTTTCCTGAAGTGAAGCTCCTAAAAGGTCCCTGTCTCTCCTTCTATTTTTCAGATGATATATTTTTTAAAGAGGCAGATGGTAGGACCTTGTTCCAGAACACACTAGGCTCTTCACGGTGATTCTTCTATTGGCTTTTGCCATCGATGCTATCATATCCTACCACAGATACCATACTTACAATAGAGTTCACTAGGTTGTTGGACTAAAAAGGCAATGTGCTTGAATTTCAGCCTGGACCTGCTACAAAGTGCTTTTGCCTCACTCAAAGAGGGCAGCCTTCTTTGTCACTCAGTAACTGGGTTGGAGCAGAATTCCCAGTAATGTAATAAGCTGCAGCCCCATCTGAAGAGATCTACCAAAAATTGTCCTCCCTACCTAGAGGAGAGAAACTTAAGATGGAGGAACATCTGAGATGGAGGTAAATTTGAGGTGGAGGTAAATTTGAGATGGAATAGCTGGTTTTATTTGAAGGGGAATAAAATACTTGAGAATGCAATAATTTGGCTTTTATTTGGAGAGATGTTTTCAACATGGCCAAGACCCTTGACACTCTAAAAACTTCACTGAGCTTCCAAATCTTTTTAGGGTTGTTTATCTCTCAATCTCTAGAGCACTTATATCTTGTCAAGACCTTTAATATTCTTACCATATATTGACCATCTGGTCTAAATAATACAACATGATGAAAGTGGTATACCATTAGGTTATTCTGTGGACTGAACAGCTGGTGCAGTTCCTATAGAACTATACTATTATGGAAGGTGAGAAAGTTAACATAGCTCTGAGGCAATATTATCAATATACATTGCTGTCTGTCTCACATGAGTTCAAAGTGCTTTTGTTTCTTCTTTCTCACACAGAAGGAAAATGTTAGGACTTCCACTTGGTTGCGTTTGTGTAGTACCCTATCATCTTCTAGCATCTGACTTGTAGGGGCCAGAAGAGTGAAATAAATGGTGATACAATTAAATATTCACCATCACTGAACTCTGTGGGTCTTTAAGGTTAGTGACATGCAGAGCCATTTCCCTTGGAGGTAATCTGATTTTGGATATACTCTCTTGGACAGTGGCTTGGGTAGTTTCAGTGACTTCAACCTGGCTTTCCCCGCTGCGTTAGCTTTTTATTCACAGGTCAGGAAACTGACATGGTGGTTATACGAAACATTTAGTATGTCCTCCGTTCCAACTATCTCCTGTATATTATCAGTATACATTGCTGTCTGTCTCACATGAGTTTAAAGTGCTTTTGTTTCTTTTTTCTCATACAGAAGGAAAACATTAGGACTTCCACTTGGTTGAGTTTGTGTAGTACCGTATCATCTTCCAGCATCTGACTTGTAGGGGCCAGAAGAGTGAATTAAATGGTAATACAATTAAATGTTCACCATCACTGAACACTGTGGTTCTTTAAGGATAGTGACATGCAGAGGTAATATGATTTATCTTGGAGGTAATATGATTTTGGATCTACTCTCTTGGGTAGTTTCAGTGACTTCAACCTGGCTTTGCCCACTGTGTTAGCTCTTTATTCACAGGTCAGGAAACTGACATGGTGGTTCTACAAAATGTATAGTATGTTCATTCCAACTATCTCCTCGGAGACCAAGAAAATGACCACTGGGTGGTTCTATCAACCTACTGGACTCATCACGAGCCAGGCCAGAGATGGTTATCACTTTATTACTAGACTCATATGTTACAGCTATGTGGAATACAGAACAATGGTACCCTAAGGACATCATAGATTTGTCATTTCATAAATCTATTTTTCCATTGGTGAGTATGATAACATAATCTCCAGAACATGTGAATATGTTGTTACATGGCAATAGTGAATTAAGGTTGCTGATAAAATTAAGGTTGCTACTCAACCAGTTTTCCAATGGAGAAATTATCTTGAAATTTCTAGTTGAGCTCATTGTAATTAAAAGGAAGTAGAAAAGAGAGAGAGCGAATCAGAGTCAAGGAAGAAGATATAAGGATGTTATGGAGCAAGGTCAGAGTAATTTGCTGTGAAAATTAAGCCACATGTTGCTGGGTTTAAAGATGGAATCGTGAGGTCATGAGTCAAGAAATATCACACGGGTGGCCTCTAGAACCTGAAAAGGGTGAGGAAATGGATTCTCCCTGAAGCCTTCAAAAATAAACAGCCCTGCTCTAGCCTTGATTTTTAGCCAAGTGAGACTGATTTCAGTCTTCTGTCCTCCAGAACTGTAAGATAATAAATTTGCTTTGTTTTAAACCACCACTTATTTTGATAATTTGCTGCAGTAGCCATAGGTAATTAATACTCTTCTAATTGGGACCATGATGTTTCATATCCTAATAATATCCAATTGAGAGCCCTCTAGCCTGCAGTCCTCAAAATGTCTGAATGTCTGTAATCCCTGAAATTTGGGAGGCCGAAGTGCTCTGGAGTATCACTTGAGCCCAGAAGTTCGAGACCAGCCTGGGCATTAAAGCAAGACCTCCAATTTAACACATTAGGTAGGCACAGTGATGCAGGCCTATGATCCCAGGTACTCAGGAGACTGAGGCAGGAGAATTGCTTGAGCCCTGAAGTTTGAAGCTACAGTTAACTATGATAATGTCACTGCACTCCAGCCTGGATGACAGTTGGTTTTTTCGTTTTGGATTTTTTTTTAAGTGCGAGTACCTTTCTTTACCTACAGATACTCTTGTAATAGCCATATTTCCCTTTGGGAAATAATTATGTTGGTTATTTCCATATTCACCTGCTATGACATTGTAGAATCCCTTCTCCTGGAGAGCTGAACTCTCTTCTAGTCATGGGGATCTGAATCTGAAAACTGCCTTAAGTTTAAACATTGGGCAAGTTGTGATTGTTTTTAATTGTGGAAGTTGCATTCAACCTCTTGACCGGTATCCTTGATTTCTTCTTATAGATGGAGTACCACCTTTCTTGAATGGTCATTCTTGTCCTAGTGTTGCTATGTTTTTTTAACCATCCTGGCAACTCTTTGCAGGTCAAGCACCCCTGGATGTCAATCAGATTCTTCTACTCATTAAAATAATTTTACTCACCTTACTTCTGATGATTAATCACCACCTCTTGACCTCTATGATTTCATAAATCTTTTTCCATTGCTATCAGAAAATCCAATTCAGCAACAGCATCTCATATCTTCAGCCCTCACATACAGAGCAGAGCCACTAATGAGTATGTGGGTGATGTTAGTGCCTGTTTCAGTTGTGATTTACTAATTATTTTGGTAAGGATTTTGTCCTGCAGGCCCTACCATGGAACATAGTCTCTTGATTAATTTTCTGGTCTTCTGTAGCATTCCACTTTCTTGAATTGTTTGATCACTTCTTCTACTCTCTGCCATGGTAGTTTTGACAAATCTGTGTCACTTTAGTGTAGATAATCACTATCTCCAAGCGTTCAAAAGCCAGCTGATAGCATATTTGCATTGGCTCCTGAGGTTTCGTTATTACGTTAAATTCTGTCATTGGGGCGTGCTTTCATATTGTGAAACTGTCTTAGTCAGTTTGGGCTACTATAACAAAGTACAATATTCTGGGTGGTTTATAAACAGCAGAAATTTATTTCTCACAGTTCTGGAGTCTGGAAGTCAGAGATCAGGCTGCCAACAAGGTTGGGTTTGGGAGAAGACCTTCCTCCAGGTTACAAACTGCTGGAGTTATGTTACATCCTTACATGGAAGAAAGAGAGCAAGCTAGCTTTCTGTCCTCTTATTAGGGCACTAATCAGGTTTATGAGGGCTCCATCCTCATGACCTGATTACTTTCAATATGTCTCACCTCCAAATATCATTGTATTGGGATAAAATTTCAGCATTTGGATTTGGGGGAAAATGCATATTGGTCCATTGCACTTTCCTTTATCCAACTTTATGTTCTGCTTTATCCAACTTTATGTTCTTTATGTTCTGCTCTACCCCCCACATTCCTGTTATTCTGGCCACCTTAGAATCTTGAGACTACAAAAGTAGTCTCAAGATACTACTTATCAATGTTAACTGGGTCCTGCAGTGTGTTCCTGGCATGGTTACTTTTCTCTATCTAGCAGTTCCACAGTAGGGTGATATTGTGATTTAACTGTAGTTAATGGCCTGGAGGCCAGGAGGAGAGATGAGGGCAAGGGGGACATCTATTACCTTGTAATGCACAAGCTTCTGCATTATCTTCAATCAAGAGAAAAGCCCTACATTTTTATAAGGAGTGGACCACATTTGCAGGCCCAGAGGAAATTCAGGGATTCAATAATTCCAAGGGAAAAACCTAGTTTTTTCCCATCCCAAATCTCAGAACCACACCTAGCATTAGGACCCCAACATTGTTATAGTTGGCCTGCTTGTTTTGATGATTGAACCTTCTTCTCAGCTCTGTTATACCTATACGCTGATCCTTCCTTTTTCTCTGCATTATAATACAGTAGATGAAAGTTTCTATATGAGTTACCAAGTATGCCCTCTGGCTTTCACATTTGGCTTTTAAATCTCGATTAATTACACTGTACTTTTCATTGTTTTCCTTCGGTACCTTGACAGCTCCCAGCTAGAGCCATCTGATCCTTCAGACCTTACAATGAACACTTTTCCCAATTGTTCAAGCACTTGAGATATCCCACCCCTCAGCTATTCTTTTCCACTTCTATCAACGCAATTTAGCAGCAATGAAAATGTAAACAGTCACCCTACTATGGGATGGCCTGAACTATAGTGTTCTACCTTCACCTGATGAAAGGATCCTCACTGCCAGTTTTAAAGTTGCTCCAGTTACAAAGTCATACTTTGGGGTCTTGTTCTTATGACCACCCCGTCTCAGTATCTTTTAGGTATGGTTACCTGGGAAATATATTCTGAGTTAGTGTTTGACATTCAGATCCAGTTAGCCCGATGCTATCTGGACTAACACCTGTAAGAAAGAAAAATATTAGGACCCAAGGTCAGGCAGAGGGAGAAGTTTGACTGTGATGCAAATACAATGGGATCCTCCACTGGGAAAGTGTGAGGCTCTGAAGCTTTGATGTCTCCCAGAGACCTCTGAATTGAACCACTGTGACTGGTCCTTAGTATTGACATAGCACCAAAGTCATTTTGTGACTTTGGGTGAAGGATCTCCCTTGGCTGTGGAAACAGCAGCAACAGTCAGGTCTGCGGAGTCTGGAGCCAACAGTCCTAACAGCTGGACCCTGAGTGTTTCCGTCTTTGAATGGGAGACTTGACTGTGTCCGTAGCACCCACTATAAATATAAATAGCATTCTTCCTTTGTTCCACAACAGATGCAAACCTTATTTTTCTTGTCTATTTACTATATTATTCAGTTTCTGAGAGAGATGTTGAGATGCCTGTGCTATTTAGTGTATTTTCTATGTCTACTGAATCAATTTGAGAAATGCAAATCCACCATTAAATATACTGTAAGGTGTGGCAGCTTCCATTCTTAGCTCTATTATCGTTAAGCATAAATAATGCTGATAATAAGCATTATTTTCCAACCAAACTATTCTACATCTAATGTTCCTATTACTTGTCCCCACGCTTCTATTTTTATTCCAGCTATCTCCCTAGAGTAATCTTATTACTTATATTTATATATGTTTAAGACACCTAACAGTAGTTTATAGCTGAGGCACTGACACTGTCTTATTTCTGAACAATAAAAGCTTGAATTATCACTAAGGCAATAAATTACAAAGAGTGAAATAAACCTAAACAAACAGAATATTTCTGAAATAAAAACAACTGATCACCATTAATTGGGAAATGAAGTTGTTCAGTGATTAATTCTGTCTGGTAGGAAGGAGGATAATAAATTAAACCACATAGAACACATTTGGGCAGCCACTTTGTTTCCCAAGCTGTAAAAATGGTAGTGGCTTTACAGCTGGGGTACTGACAGTATATCTTACTTTTGAACCATAAATACTTGGGATATTTAATTGAATATGTGGAGATCATTAGTCGCCAGGTTATCTTTATCAGTATGGTTAGGCTACTCTAAAGTTCACTGGATATTTTAGCAAAGTGAATTTGATATAAGGATTTGTAACATCAGAATTTGACAGATGGAAGAACACAAAAAGAGCATTGAGATAACCCAGAAGTAATAACTGTACAATTAGCCTCTGTCCCTAGGACTGAGGAAACAAAGGTGAAATTTCAGTATATCAGAATTAAGGGACATGCACCCAGGTCTCTTAGAGAGCAGAACAATTCAACTGCTGCTAGTATCTCTTATGGGATTCAGTAGTAAGGCTGGTTTGGGGAGCACTGTTGTGATGAAGCATCATTGCTCAGGCGGGTCTGCCAGAAACTTCAAGCATATGGTAAGGCAGAAGTCTTTCCCCCTCCTCCTGCCTTCCAATCTGACTCTGTGACAGGTTTTAGCAAATACTACCTGGAAGTCATTTGGTAAAGACAGTTGTAATCTGCAGAGTCCCAGCCCCACATCACTGTAATGTGAGGCACATTACAGCCTCAGCTGTAAACTACAGTTAGGTGTCTTAAACATAAGACACCTGTAAAGGGGATCAATATGGAGCAGGGAGAAACTAGACTATAATTGGGCCAGGATTGCATGAGATCTAATCTGATAAACAGTACACCTATGCTCTATAATGTTCAAGATATAATTCAAATGGGCATCATCATTAGTTTTGGCAGGGTTCTGAATTTACATTCTCTTGTAAGGTTTATTCTCTTACATTTCACTTCCTCTCAGGCTTCTCTAATAACTTTCAGGGTAGATCACTTTGCTTCATTGATATTTTTGCTGTAATGTAAAGCGTGGCTTTATAATTCCCAAGAGATTAATTTGTCTTGGTAGCTGTACTCCCTTCTCAAAGTGTAGATGCCTAATGTGACTATATTGTATCCTTGACAGCAGTTTTATTCTTTGCCTATGTGCCATTTAGTTAAACAAATTTTTACCATTTGAGCATGTATTGTTCAAGAACTACCAAGATTAGTGCAAGTCATATATTACACTTCAAACGATGCAAAACGTGAGATTTGTAAAAATAAATATACACTTTCATTTTATTAAAAAGTATATTTGATGATGGAGAAACACTTTAAATGGAGTGCATGTTTTTTGGAGAAAACAATTCCATCTTCACATTTTGGCTATAAATCAAATAAATATTCTCCTAAAGTAGTAAAAGACTAAAAGTCTACTTCAAGTTCCCAGTTGGTATAACTGTCATGAAAAAATTGGCATAAAGCAAATACAATGCCTTCATTGGCTCTATACATACTGATTTTGCTTGGGCTAAACCCCAATGTTCATTCTTTTGCAATAGTAATTGTTATCCAAATATACTGAAAAATATATTTAAGTTCAGTGCAAGCAATAGCTAAGGGCAGAGAGATGTAACACTGATGGATTGTGATGCCTCATATAAATTATTATATGAATCTCAATATCTAATTAGAACTGTCTTTGTAAATAGCACAAAGTCATTAAAGTCAATATAGATAAATTTTCTTTCCTTTTTCTTTGTTTTTTAGAGACAGTGTCCCACTTGTTGCTCAGGCTGGATTACAGTGGCACAATCATAGTTCACTGCAGCCTCCAAGTTTTGGCTCAAGGTTCCAGCATCAGCCCCAAAAGTAGCTGGGAAAACAAGTATGCACCACTATGCCTGGATTTTTTTTTTTTTTAATTTTTGTAGAGATGAGGATCTCTCTTTGTTGCCCAGGCTGGTCTCCTGGCTTCAAGTACTTCTCCAGCCTCAGCCTCACGAAGTACTGGGATTACAGGTATGAACGACTATGCCAGGGTCTTAGGTGAAATTTTCTGAGACTACACTTTTGACACATCAAAAATTAAATTAAAATAAATACAGAAGTTTCATAAGGCATTTGAAAATGAATACATAAAATTAGGAAGAAAACGTTACTGGCTACATATTTATTTGCAGGTATCATAAATTAATAAGCCCACATTTCATAACTAATGCTTTGTATCTGAGACAACAATCTCTCAAAATTAAGGAGCTATCTCTAAGTTTCAATGCCTCTGTGTGGATTTTATTTATTGTATTGAAATAATCTCTTAGTGATCATGTATATTAATTTTGCACATAAACATTGAAAGCAAAACATGTTAATTACATTTTAGACCTATACATATTTCTATGATGCTGTAATTTTTTAATCATTCATTTTATGATGATTTAAGAATGCAAAGCAGTAAAGTGAAAATCTAGATTAGCATCATCAATTTTGTGATAAGTTTATATCTTGTCATATATGTATACATATATATGCACACACATATCCACATATTATTAAACTATTTAAGTTTTATTTGCCTTTATGAAATGTAACAACTTCCCTAACTCCAGTCAGCTATGAACAGCTTTGTATTACAAAGAGTAGGTATAAGCTTGCAGGCTTTGGATGATGTGAGAATACAAATAGTAGATAATAATTTATCTTTGTGAGGAAGAGTCACATATTTAATTTGCAAATAATTAGTCATTTGCTTTGAGAGAGGTATGTATTTGCATTAAAATATGAACAAATTATATTTTATAATGCCATTTCCTATATTATTTTAAATAATTTTTGAATAGAAATCTCTAAAATATATATATGTAATTATTAATTTATTCTGTGGGAAACAGCCTAAACTTTGAATCAAGACAAACTTTATAAAACAAAATTAAAACACCTGCATAATAGGTTATCTTAAAAATGCAGAATATGTATCTAAAGCAGTATTCTAGTGTGACATTATGTAATCAGTATTACTTAGCTGTTACTGTATTATGAAAGCCAAATATGGGGAAAAGCCTTAATATTAAATGTCTCACAATAGACTGTTTTCATATCTTTTCACCCAATGGAAATAGCCAAATTATACCAAAACACATTTTAATATGTTATGTATATTATACCTTTGTTAAGTATGTGTAGACAAAATATTAGATGATACCATGCTAATTATAGAACAGGCTCTTTAATTGGTAGACTTAGGGCACATATTAGCTCATTAGTGTATCTTCTCCAACTCTAAATGTTAGGCATTGGATGTTTGTCATTAACTATTAGGTTTGAAAAAGAGAAGTATTGATATCTCAAGAGATAAAGTTAAGGCAGAACGTGGCAGCTCTTTCCTGTAATCCCAGCACTTTCGGAGGCCAAGGTGGGCTGATCACCTGTGGTCTGCCTGGGCGGCAAAGGGAGACTCCATCTCAAAAAACACATCATCCTGCAGGGTATTCCACATGGGTAAATCCACATACATCCTGCAGTGGAAGTGTAGCCCCACTAGGGAGATACTATGGTGGAGGGCCAGCTGAGGAAAGCAGGAGAAACTAAATGAGCTTTTATTCCTACTACCCCTGCCACTGAATCAGTGAATGTGGAAACGTATTTTTTCCTGGAGCCACTACTTCCAACTTGGTGGCTGGGACACCACAGGCTCATAGGAAAAAAGACCACGACACAGACAGTTGCCTGGGGGAGTTACTATGGCCTAGGATGCCCGACAACTAGATATGACCTTCAATGACTAGCTGAGGCCAATGAATACACACTAGCATGCACCCTGGACCTAGCATGGAGAAGAAAACACAGAAGTGCAGAAACAGACTATTCTTAGAGAAATACCAATTCATGAGAGTAGATATCAACTTCAATGCAAACAACAATAACACAACGAGTACTTCATGAAAATGTATTCTAGCACACAAATATTTTTGTGTCACTAAGATATAGTAATATTCAAATGTTTTAGTAGATGAATAGGAAAAAAATAAAAGGATGGTCAATGTTAAGACCTGAATTGGTGATCTGGACAACCAAGTGAAAGAAACATCTGAAAAGTTATAACGAATATACACAGACCTAGAAATCCAGGGGAAAAAGTTAAGAATCCAGAGGTTTCATTAAGTAGGACTGCTGCTCATACAACATATGGGAAGTATTTACCTAGCACACAGTCCTCAGACTTATGTTTCATTTCTAGATCCAGGAAAACTCTCATGTGAATAATAAGGTTCAGAAAATGAAAAAAAAATAAACATAGATATAGAGGAGATGAGACAACACACACACACACACACACACACACACGTTAGCATAAAATTTCCTTGCACTAAGAATCAGAAAATTGAAAATGTTCACAGAGTTCCAGGCAGCTTGGTAAGAAAGGGCAAATCTAGTCCTATCCGGCTGTAGCTACAAAATGCCAAGGACAAAGAGAAAATGTTACAAGCTCCCAGGCAGAACAATAAAAATAATATGTAATTTACAGAGATTGGAGAGCTGACCCTCACCCAGTCAGACCAATCCAACAGGTTAGTGGCCAGGCACTATTATGAATAAGAGCCTTTTTGTTCTGCTGAAAGCATAAAGCTGACCAAAATCACAGTACTTACTGCCTGGGTAAGGGACAATATGACAGCAGACCAGCAGAGGCATCAACCTTTGATTTCCCATTTTGGGTTGTTATAACAGAGGCCAGCAGCACTACATTCAGAGCAGACCTTGAGTGGGCCTGTTTTTTTGCTATGCCACAGCTACAACCATATGATGTTACTTTTTAAAACAATATTTTCTCGTCTATTAATTTTTAAAAATCTGAGGGCAATAAGCAATTGAGTTAAAATAGAATAAAATTACAATTTTTACTTAAGTATGGTAGTAAAATGAGATTTATAACTCTTTTGTTGTCAAAAGCAACAAAATGTTTTGGTCCATTTTCTGTTGACAAAAGCCTTCTGATGAAATAGAGATGTTTGGGTAAGTGTTCAGTGTGAAACCAATGTTTCATAGGAAAGAAGGGAGTGCTTAGAAATTATGTGACTTAGTAACTGCTCCTCATTTTGAGACAGCATAAGATACTCCATTAACTTGGAAAGTTTTAGAATAGTTCAGAAGCAGGCAGAGGAGTAGGATGTTTTTTCTAAGTTATTGTAAATTTTTTTATAAATCTGAGTTTCATTTATCTTGATCTGTTTAATAAATTTTGTGCTTTAAAAATGTTATGGCAGTTGGACAACATGGTTGAAATATTTCTTTTGAAATTTGTTTCTGGCAAGACAATTTGTTTTAGGCAATACAGAATTTGTTTGTCAAAGAGGAAAAAAATGTTAGAGATCAATTCTATTTGAATTTTACTTTGGATATGACTATACATTTTCACACTTTATTTCTTAAGGTTCTGCCCACCTCAGCCTTCCAAAGTTATGGTATTACAAGCATGAGCCACCACACCGGGCCAGTTTATTTTTCTATCAGAAAGAACTCTGGCGAACCAGGCATGCAAGGGTTCTTAAAACACTTTGGTTAAGCACAATAAGAAAGCACTGTATGAAAAGTACGCAAAAACATGATTAGTCTTATTAGGATTTAAATATGCCAAGTAAAGTAAAAGTGTAGTACTATTCTTGACTCAATAGATAGCCAAACATTATTTTAAATGGTAATATCAAGCTTTTTCTACAATTTAGGAAAATAGATGGCTATACATTAAAGTTTGCAATATAAATTGGTATGGCATGTCTAGACAGTAGTTTAATAATGTGTTTTAAAAACTTGAACAGTACAGACTTGTAACTGAGATAGTACACTTTGACAGTTGATTTTTAGAACCTCAATCAAATTAAGATTGGACTGTAAAAAAGAATTTTGACTGCAATTTACTATTGATGCCCCTAAAATGTAAACAATCCAAATGTCTAGTAATAAGTTATTTAGTATAATTAAGCCATACAATAAAATTCAGCAATAAAATTGAGGATTTTTAGTTGTTTTGTTTTTGTATGTATTGATATAGAAAGATGGGCATTTCTTATTACATGTAAATCATGGCGATTTAAAATATTAAACACTTGCCTATACAGCAATGTTTTATTTTTACCATGTTTTTCTGTATTTTTAAAAACAATCAAAACATTAATATACTTGTATTTTAGATTTAAAACCCAAAAAATAAAGGCATGATTTAGTTTTTAATTGACATTGAGCTATGTGGAATAGAGAATATACCTAGGGTCATGGTTTGATCAATTTAGACATTTTTTTTTTTCCACTGGGAATGTCAAGAGAAGGCTTTAAACAAATTCCTATTTTGTGATACAGATACTTAATGCTGTTTTTAAATGTAAAACTTTTAGATGTCAGTTAATTTTTTATGCTTATTCAAATAAAAAAAAAAGAAGTAAAGAATAAACCACTGCTTGGGACAAATAGTGCAATGTTAACAAAAGACACATAGAACAGAAATAATCTACAGGTTTTTCTCCTATTAAGCAAAATGAACTTCCAGAGTTGATTATATTTAAATTTATGGAGTAAATCAAGTATATTTAAACTTATGTGTAAGAGGAAAAAATAGTCAAAGGGAATTATCTGGCTTTAAATGAACTTGTCTCCAGGCTGAGTGATTTATAAGCCAGAATTTAAACAAACCAAACCAAAACAAAGCAAAGAAACAAAAGTGCAATCATTATTTAGAAACTTCTGTCAGTCATATGTGAGAAATCATTACAAATTATGTCAATACTTTAGCCATCTAATCTTACAGGGTTGAATATTCTGTAGCAAAATTCTAGGACAATAACAAGCAGCATAACACAGTGGAAAGAATAACTCAAATGTACCAATTCTCTTTCCATTATTATACTAACAAACTATCTAGATTTGATCAAAGCACCATTTGTAGTTTTAAATATCACTGTCTGCAAAGACATCTTAAAATTACAGTAATGTGATGGGGAACAAAATTAAGTACAATTTGACAAAACCAAAAATAGAATGGAATCAAATAGAATAGGATAGAACAGGACAGAATACAACAGAATAAATATGAGTTTTTGGTTTTGAGCCTGGTTTCATTCTTCTTCAATCACTTAATTAGTGAATGATCCCTGAATGATCTGCTTAATTTTATTGGAGCTTTATTTTTATCTATTAATTACGGTGTGGAAATTAAAGGAAATAACTAAAGTCGAGCACACAGCTAAGCACTTGGCATAGTCATTTTCTAGTAGGTCTTTCAGGGTATGCCCTGGCTTCTTCACCCCATTGACCATTCCAACCTTTAAGCATTTTATAGGGAAAAAAAAAAAAAAGGAAAGCATACCTTATTTAGTTCATGAATTTAACACATCTAGAAGGGATAGCTTAAAGGTTGATTGCTAGCATCAAAATACAATTATTGGCAAAGCAAGAGGATAGTCTCTACTAATTAGATTGAAAATGGGAAGAAAGTAAGCCCTAATTTTGTATTCACAGACTCTATCGCACAAAGCCTGGTTAAGGAAGTCCTGACTTAGTACTAAATCCTGATGAAGATTTCTAATGGAGTTAATTTTCTTCAAGCTCAGTATTAACTGCTTTTCGCCAAAAGTATGTGTCTGCTAAAAATCAAGAATAAACAGGCTTCATGAATATAACTATAATATTAAATTATAGGGAGACTATAGTTTTTACTCTAATCAAAGCTCACATGTGTATTTAGATTTTTATGGTGGAAATAGATTTTATAGTGGGTATGAACTGGTAGAGGAAACTATTTAGAATTCCTTCTCTTCTAGTTTGTCCTCATGCTTTCTTCCTGTCTGAAAATATTCCCATTTATCTAATATCTCAAAAAGCTGGCCCTCAGCTTTTGCTTGAATGTCCTAGGGAGTCTATTCCTAACATGCTCTACAGGCTTCTAAATCTAATGCCTCTGAATCCATTGCCATGCTAGTCCCACCTCTAGCACTTGACCTGGCTAAGCCCATGGTTGCTTCCCTCTTTCATCCCTGAAGGCTGATGTGAGAATGTATTGCCATGAGGGAAAGTTGTAATTAATAGCTTGGCATGTTCTAAGATCGACATTACCAACATAACTGGTTAAAAAATGGAGTGTGCTGTGTTGTCAAGTAGACACCTCTGTAAAGTTGTTCAGAGGTTACAAACTTTCTTTCAGAGACCTTGGTATGAGGTTATGTGTATGGCTTTTGAGTTTTCTTTCAATAAAAAAAAAAATCTATTGAAGTTCCATCCAATAAAATTAAGTAATCATTATAAGAACACTCCATATAAATGGATAATGGTTTGAAGATCTGGCACAATTTTAATTGATATTCAAATTCAAGTAGCATTCATTGAACTCATGCTATTCTAGAAGTTTACTTCATAAACATGTATTGAATACAACTTATCTGCCAGATGTTAATGAAAGAAATAGACAAAAATATCTACTCTCATAATATTTACATTCTAGTCAGAGGAAAAAAGTGAATATAAAAATAATAAATATTTCAATTACATATTAGTTTCAAAGTGATCAAGTTATGAAACTAAATCTTGGGGCCCCAAAATCACTAAGCTAAACAAAAAGTCGAGCTGGGAACTCCCCCTCTCCTTTTGGTTCCTAAATAAGTTTGCTACAAGCTGAAAAGCTACATGGAAATTCCTTTCCGTGTATTTTTTTGCCCACAAGCAAATTCCTAGTAAGCGCCAAGATCTTTACCCTAAGGGATTTCTGTTAAGATTTCACCATAGCAATGTAAATTGAAGCTTATATTTACAGGTGCAGTCAGCCCCCTGCCCACTAGACACAAATGCATATCTGATTGTCCCCCTGCCCCATTTTATCTATGTTATCTTATGTGAAAAATGCAGATTCCCTGAATTTTTTCTCTGCTCCATTTGTCTATGCCATTTTATGTCAAAAAAATGCAGATTCACTGAGCCAGACAAAGGAATCAATAACTATTTTTCCCTACCCCCCTCTTACATGAAAATTGTGTACTTCTCAATATCCCGTCCTTTTCCCTTTAAATTTGGAGCCCTCAACATCATCTTTGAAGAAAGACATAGACCCGTCTTCTTCATGTACATCCTTAACTTTGCAAATAAACCTAAAATGATTTAGGCTTTTGTCATTTTTATTGATTGACAGAAGTAAACAGATATAACATTGTAAGGGAGGCCACCAGTGCAGAGAGTGGGATGGGGTAGGAAGGAGAGCCATACTTTGCTGAAAGGTTTAAGATATTTTACTTTATGCCTATATTTAACAAGGTCTTGACTTTCAGATAAAATAAGCCAAGTAGGCTGAGAATTCAGAAGCAAAAGATTTCAAATAACTCACAGGGCTTACCTTAAAGGGCAGAGTCTATATACAAGTTAATGTGCACAGAGCAAAAAACAGTTTTGTTTTGTTTTTTTCTGATTTGCTGCATTTTTCTTAACCTTAAAAAAAATCAATATCTTGGATAGGTATGCAGGAAAGAAGATGAGTGACTACCGCATATTATATCCTACATATTGTCATTTGAAAACTATTTTAATTATTTTTATGAAAATTGTTTAATACATTATATTTGCACATATTTATGGGTACAAACCAAAATTAAAATTCTAAGCCCCTCATTTGACTGAATAGGTCACCCTTTCAGCCAAGGAGATTACAAAGAAACCTGAAAAATGAGTTCAGGCTGTAACTGCTTAAAGGATTCATCTTGCCCACTGCCTAGACAGAGTCAATTTATAAAGACAGGGGTATAGCAATAGAGAAAAAGTAATTCACCTACAGCTGGCCATGTAGGAGATCAGAGTTTTATTATTGCTCAAATCAGTCTCCCCAAGCATTCAGGGTTCAGAGTTTTTTAAGGATAATTTGGTGGGTAGGGGGACAGGGAGTGGGGAGTTCTGATTGGTCGGGTCAGAGATGAAATCAGAGGGAGTTGAAGCTGTTCTCTTGAGCTGAGTCAGTTCCTGGGTGGGGGCCACAAGACAAAATGAGCAAATTTTATAATCCTGGTGGTGCCAGTGACAATGATAGGAGGCAGCAAAATGTCTAGGCAGATAGGAGTGGGTACCGGGTGAAGCCCAGTTCCAAGCCAGAGACAGTTTACAGCCTGAAAGTCAAGCTACAAGTTAAATCCTGACAAGAGTGAGAACTTGTCTTCCAGTTTGGTGTGCTTTCCTCTGATTGATCCCTGCCCTTCACCTATTTTACATATGCCTACCCTTTCCTAATTGGCTTTCTACACTGTCATGCCCACCTTTGAGTGGTGTCTTCGCCTTAACCTTTTTTGCATACTTACAAACCAATTGGTATGCACTCCCCATCCTGTGTCTATGAAGACCCTAGACTCAGTCAGTAGAGGAGAAGATGGCCTGACTTCAGGGGAGAGACAACCTGGCTTTGGGGAAAAGGACCTGCCCTTCCTGCCCTCTCTCCAGCTCCCCTCTCTGCTAAGAGACATTTTCATCACTGTATAAAACTGTTCGCCTTCACAATCTTTCAATCATCTTCACGACTTCATTCTTCTTGTATGCTGGACAAGAGTTTGGGACACACCAAGTGTGAGTACTCAGAAATACTGTCACACTGGCCCTTTGCCCTCACCAGTGGAGGGCAGCTGCCCTGAATGACGATTCAAAGGGCCAGTTGAGCTGCTAACACACTGCCATCCATGGTTGACAGAACCAAAGGAGCTCTGTGATACCCCTTTGGGGCTTCAGGGTTGTGGGCATCCTCACCTGGGCACTGCGTTGTCCTCGAGGTGACATGCCTGGTCTGGCCGCAGGCCCCGGATGGAGCTTACTCCTGTGTTGATGCCTGGAGCGGCCAGCCAGATCCCACACTTACTAGCTCACATGCTCCCTCCCACAACGGGTTGAGCACAGTGGGCCAAGTGGATGGGGGGCCCCTTCCCTGAGTTCATTGACAGGGCTGAGAAAAATCCTATATCACCAGCTGATCCATTGTGTGCAGGGTCTGCAAAATATTTTAAGCACTGATCTTAGATTTTACAATAGTTATGTTATCCCCAGGAGCAATTTGGGGTGGTTTAGAATCTTGCAGCCTCCAGCTGCATGACTCCTAAACTATAATTTTTAATCTTGTGTCTAATTTATTAGACCTGCAAAGGCAGTCTAGTCCCCAGGTAGGAAGGGGCATTGGTCTGAGAAACGGCTGTTATTGTCTTTGTTTCAAAGCTAAACCATAAACTAAGTTCCTCCCAAAGTTAGTTTGGCCTAACCCAGGAATGAACAAGGATAGCTTAGAGGTTAGAAGCAAGATGGAGTCAGTTAGGTCAGGACTCTCTCAATGTAATAATTGTCTCGGTTATAATTTTTGCAAAGGCAGTTTCAAGGCCATGTCATGAAGTGGTGGTTGGACATACCTCATTATATCCTCTCCCTTTTGGAATTTAGACACAACTGACCAGTATTAACATGAAAATAGATATCCTAAGATGAACAGAACAGACTCTTGGTAGCAATTAGATATCAACTTCAACTGACTCTGGTATAGCATCACATGACAGATAACAGGCCTAAAAGGAAATCAAAGTATTTTACCCTAAAATATATTTCCTTGATATATTTATTAAAAGCCCTGCAAAGTGGCCTCTTGTGTGGGAAATATACATTTGTAGAGAATCCACTTCCCTTTCTAGGTCTTCCCCTCATCCAGGAGTAAATTTAATTAAGAGTCTGACACCTTGTAATTTCAGATGAAAGCCATTTACCATGTATTCTCTTTGAAGCTGCTACCTGGAAGCTTCATCTACATGACAAGAACTTTGGCTTCCACAACCGCCCACCTTAACTTAACTCAAGCTGACTTCACCTATTCAGGAAGAGTTTAACTCTTTCAGCTGATTGCCAATCAGAAAATCTTTGAGTCTGACTGGATGCGGTGGCTTATGTCTGTAATCCCAGCACTTTTGGAGGCCAAGGCCGGTGGATCACCTGAGGTCAGGAGTTTGAGACCATCCTGGCCAACATGGCAAAATCCCATCTCTACTAAAAATACAAAAATTAGCTGGGTGTGGTGGTGCATACCTGTAATACCAGCTACTCAGGAGGCTGAGGCAGGAGATTTGCTTAAACCCAGGAGGCGGAGGTTGCAGTGGGCTGAGATCACACCATTGCACTCCGGCCTGGGTGACAGAATGAGACTTCATCAAAAAAAAAAAAAAAAAGAAGAAGAAAAAAAAGGGAAATTTTTGAATCCACTTATGATCTTGGACCCCCCCCCCAACCTCCCTAACTCTCCCCACCCCACCCCCACTTTGAGATGTCCTGCCTTTTCAGGTTGAATCAATGTATAACTTACATGTATGGACTTATGTCTTTATCTGCAACTTCTGTTTTTCTAAATTGTATAAATTCTAGCTATAACCCAACCAACTTGGGCACATGTTCTCAGGATCTCCTGAGGCTATGTCATGGACCATGTCCTTAACTTTGGCAAAATAAACATCTAAATTGATTGAGACCTGTCTCAGATACTTTTAGGTTTACATGGGGTGTTTGTGAAATTTCGGTACATGTGTAGAACGTGTAATGAGATGATTCTGGAGACTCTCTGCAATATAATTTTTTCCTAAGACTGATTTCTGCTGTGCCATGTAATTCAATAAAACCAGAGCTTCTGTCCTCGAATTATACTTAGAAGTTTGTGTCAGGCCTCTGAGCCCAAGCCAAGCCATCGCATCCCCTGTGACTTGCATGTATACGCCCAGATGGCCTGAAGTAACTGAAGAATCACAAAAGAAGTGACTATGCCCTGCCCCACCTTAACTGATGACAGTCCACCACAAAAGGAGTGTAAATGGCTGGTCCTTGCCTTAAGTGATGACATTACCTTGTGAAAGTCCTTTTCCTGGCTCATCCTGGCTAAAAAAGCACCCCCACTGAGCACCTTGCGACCCTCGACTTCTTATATCTCTGCGCCCCAATCCCTTATTTCCACGCCCCAACGTCATATCTCTGCACCCCAATCCCTTATTTCTGCGCCCCAACCTCTTATATCTCTGCACCCAATCCCTTATTTCTGCACCCCAACCTCTTATCTCTGTGCCCCAATTGCTTATTTCCACAGCCCAACCTCTTATCTCTATGCCCCAATCCCTTATTTCCGGTCTAAAGGCCGTCTTATTCTCAATATACATTTTATTACCCAATCTGCTCCTGACATTAAATAAAACTCCAAAAATTGGAATCTGGCCCTCAAACCCCACAACAGGACTTAATTAACCTCACCTTCAAGGTGTACAATAACAGAAAAAAGTTGCAATTCCTTGCCTCCACTGTGAGACAAACCCCAGCCACATCTCCAGTACACAAGAACTTCCAAACGCCTGAAGGGCAGCAGCCAGGCATTCCTCCAGAACCTCCTCCCCCAGGAGCTTGCTACACATGCCGGAAATCTGGCCACTGGGCCAAGGAATGCCCGCAGCCCGGGATTCCTCCTAAGCCGCATCCCATCTGTGTGGGACCCCACTGAAAATCAGAATGTTCAACTCACCTGGCTGCCACTCCCAGAGCCCGTGGAACTCTCGCCCAAGGCTGTCTGACTGACTCCTTCCCAGATCTTCTTGGCTTAGCTGCTGAAGACTGACACTGCTGGATCGCCTCAGAAGCCCCCTAGACCATCACGGACGCCGAACTTCGGGTAACCCTCACAGTGGAAGGTAAGCCCATCCCCTTCTTAGTCAATACGGAGGCTACCCACTCCACATTACCTTCTTTTCAAGGGCCTGTTTCCCTTGCCTCCATAACTGTTGTGGGTATTGACAGCCAGGCTTCTAAACCTCTTAAAACTCCCCAACTCTGGTGCCAACTTAGACAGTACTCTTTTAAGCACTCCTTTTTAGTTATCCCCACCTGCCCAATTCCCTTATTAGGCTGAGACACTTTAACTAAATTATCTGCTTCCCTGACTATTCCTGGACTACAGCTATATCTCATTGCTGCCCTTCTTCCCAATCCAAAGCCTCCTTTGCGTCCTCCTCTTGTATCCCCCCACCTCAACCCACAAGTATAAGATACCTCTACTCCCTCCTTGGCGACCGATCATGCACCCCTTACCATCTCATTAAAACCTAATCACCCTTACCCCACTCAATGCCAATATGCCATCCCACAGCATGCTTTGAAAGGATCAAAGCTTGTTATCACTCACCTGCTACAGCATGGCCTTTGAAAGCCTATAAACTCTCCTTACAATTCCCCCATTTTACCTGTCCTAAAACCAGACAAGCGTTACAAGTTAGTTCAGGATCTGCACCTTATCACCCAAATTGTTTTGCCTATCCACCCCGTGGTGCCAAACCCATATACTCTCCTATCCTCAATACCTGCCTCTAAAACCCATTATTCTGTTCTAGATCTCAAACATGCTTTCTTTACTATTCCTTTGCACCCTTAATCCCAGCCTCTCCACTTTCACTTGGACTGACCCTGACACCCATCAAGCTCAGCAAATTACCTAGGCTGTACTGCCGCAAAGCTTCACAGACAGCCCCCATTACTTCAATCAAGCCCAAATTTATTCCTCATCTGTTACCTATCTCAGCATAATTCTCATAAAAACACACGTGCTCTCCCTGCCAATCCTGTCCGACTGATCTCTCAAACCCCAGCACCTTCTACAAAGCAACAACTCCTTTCCTTCCTAGGCATGGTTAGTGTGGTCAGAATTCTTACACAAGAACCAGGACCACACCCTGTAGCCTTTCTGTCCAAACAACTTGACCTTACTGTTTTAGCCTAGCCCTCATGTCTGCGTGCAGCGGCTGCCACTGCTTTAATACTGTTAGAGGCCCTAAAAATCACAAAATATGCTCAACTCACTCTCTACATTTCTCATAACTTCCAAAATCTATTCTCTTACTCGTACCTGACGCATATACTTTCTGCTCCCCGGCTCCTTCAGCTGTATTCACTCTTTAAAGTCCCACAATTACCATTGTTCCTACCCGGACTTCAATCTGGCCTCTCACATTATTCCTGATACCACACCTGACCCCCATGACTGTATCTCTCTGATTCACCTGATATTCACCCCATTTCCCCATATTTCCTTCTTTCCTGTTCCTCACCCTGATCACGCTTGATTTATTGCTGGCGGTTCCACCAGGCCTAATCGCCACACACCAGCAAAGGCAGGCTATGCTATAGTACAAGCCACTAGCCCGCCTCTCAGAAACTCTCATTTCCTTTCCATCATGGAAATCTATCCTCAAAGGAAATAACTTCTCAGTGTTCCATCTGCTATTCTACTACTCCTCAGGGATTATTCAGGCCCCCTCTCTTGCCTACACATCAAGCTCGAGGATTTGCCCCTACCCAGGACTGGCAAATTAGCTTTACTCAACATGCCTGAGTCAGGAAACTAAAATACCTCTTAGTCTAAATAGACACTTTCACTGAATAAGTAAAGGCCTTTCCTACAGGGTCTGAGAAGGCCACTGCAGTCATTTCTTCCCTTCTGTCAGACATAATTCCTCAGTTTAGCCTTCCCACCTCTATACAGTCTGATAACAGACCAGCCTTTATTAGTCAATTCAGCCAAGCAGTTTTTCAGGCTCTTAGTATTCAGTGAAACCTTTATATCCCTTACAGTCCTCCGTCTTCAGGAAAAGTAGAATGGACTAAAGGTCTTTTCAAAACACACCTCACCAAGCTCAGCCACCAACTTAAAAAGGACTGGACAATACTTTTACCACTTTCGCTTCTCAGAATTCAGGCCTGTCCTCGGAATGTTACAAGGTACAGCCCATTTAAGCTCCTGTATAGACACTCCTTTTTATTAGGCCCCAGTCTCATTCGACACCAGACCAACTTAGACTGTGCCCCAAAAAAACTTGTCATCCCTACTATCTTTTGTCTAGTCATACTCCTATTCACTGTTCTCAACTACTCATACATGCCCTGCTCTTGTTTACACTGCCAGTTTACACTGTTTCTCCAAGCCATCACAGCTGATATCTCCTGGTGTTATCCCCAAACTGCCACTCTTAACTCTTGAAGTAAATAAATAATCTTTGCTGGCAGGACTATGCTGAATCTCCTTAGGCACTCTCTAATCAGGTATCCTGAGTCGTCCCAATTCTTAGACCTTTTATACCTGTTTTTCTCCTTCTGTTATTCCATTTAGTTTTTCAATTCATCCAAAACTGTATCCAGGCCATCACCAATCATTCTATACGACAAATGTTTCTTCTAACATCCCCACAATATCACCCCTTACCACAAGATCTCCCTTCAGCTTAATCTCTCCCACTCTAGGTTCCGATGCCACCCCTAATCCCGCTTGAAGCAGCCCTGAGAAATTTCACCCATTCTCTCTCCATACCACTCCCCAAAAATTTTCGCCGCCCCAACACTTCAACACTGTTTTATTTTTCTTATTAATATAAGAAGGCAGGAATGTCAGGCCTCTGAGCCCAAGCCAAGCCATCGCATCCCCTGTGCAAGCATCCCCTGTGACTTGCACGTATGTGCCCAGATGGCCTGAAGTAACTGAAGAATCACAAAAGAAGTGAATATGCCCTGCCCCACCTTAACTGATGACATTCCACCACAAAAGAAGTGTAGATGGCCGGTCCTTGCCTTAACTGATGACATTACCTTGTGAAAGTCCTTTTCCTGGCTCAAAAAGCACCCCCACTGAGCACCTTGCAACCCCCACTCCTGCCCGCCAGAGAACAAACCCCCTTTGACTGTAATATTCCTTTACCTACCCAAATCCTATAAAACGGCCCCACCCTTGTCTCCCTTCGCTGACTCTCTTTTCGGACTCAGCCCGCCAGCACCCAGGTGAAATAAACAGCCATGTTGCTCACACAAGCCTGTTTCGTGGTCTCTTCACACGGATGCGCATGAAACCAATCCCTTATTTCCGCACCCCAACCTCTTATCTCTGTGCCCCAATCCCTTATTTCCATGCCCCAACCCCTTCTCTGCTTTTCTGCAGGGCTAGATCCCCCCACCCCTTCTCCATGTCTCTACTCTTTTTTCTGGGCTTGCCTCCTTCACTATGGGTAAGATTCCACCTTCCATTCCTCCTTCTTCTCCCTTAGCCTGTCTTCTCAAAAACTTAAAACCTCTTCAACTCGCACCTGACCTAAAACCTAAATGCCTTATTTTCTTCTGCAATGCCGCTTGACCCCAATACAACTCGACAGTAGTTCCAAATAGCCAGAAAATGGCAGTTTCAATTTTTCCATCCTACAAGATCTAAATAATTCTTGTCGTAAAATGGGCAAATGGTCTGAGGTGCCTGACGTCCAGGCATTCTTTTATACATCAGTCCCTCCCTAGTCTCTGTGCCCAGTGCAACTCGTCCCAAATCTTCCTTCTTTCCCTCCCGCTTGTCCCCTCAGTCCCAACCCCAAGCGGCGCTGAGTCTTTCTAATCTTCCTTTTCTACAGACCCATCTGACCTCTCCCCTCCTCACTAGCCTAAGCTAGGTCCCAATTCTTCCTCAGCCTCCGCCCCTCCACCCTGTAATCTTTTTATCGCCTCCCCTCCTCACACCTGGTCTGGCTTACAGTTTCATTCTGTGACTAGCCCTCCCCCACCTACACAGCAATTTACTCTTAAAAAGGTGGCTGGAGCCAAAGGCATAGTCAAGGTTAATGCTGCTTTTTCTTTATTCCAAATCAGATAGCGTTTAGGCTCTTTTTCATCAAATATAAAAACCCAGCCCAGTTCATGGCTCGTTCGGCAGCAACCCTGAGAGGCTTTACAAGCCTAGACCCTAAAAGGTCAAAAGGCCATCTTATTCTCAATATACATTTTATTACCCAATCTGCTCCCGACATTAAATAAAACTCCAAAAATTAGAATCTGGCCCTCAAACCCCACAACAGGACTTATTAACCTCACCTTTAAGGTGTACAATAATAAAAAAAAAAGTTGCAATTCCTTGCCTCCACTGTGAGACAAACCCCAGCCACATCTCCAGCACACAAGAACTTCCAAATGCATGAACCGCAGTGGCCAGGCGTTCCTCCAGAACCTCCTCCCACAGGAGATTGCTACAAGTGCCAGAAATCTGGCCACCAGGCCAAGGAATGCCTGCAGCCCAGGATTCCTCCTAAGCTGTGTCCCATCTGTGCGGGACCCCACTGGAAATCGGACTGTTCAACTCACCTGGCAGACACTCCCAGAGCCCCTGGAACTCTGGCCCAAGGCTCTCTGACTGACTCCTTCCCAGATCTTCTCGGCTTAGCAGCTGAAGATTGACGCTGCCCAATCGCCTCAGAAGCCCCGTAGACCATCATGGACGCCAAACTTTAGGTAACTCTCACAGTGGAAAGTAAGCCCATCCCCTTCTTAATCAATACGGAGGCTACCCACTCCATGTTACCTTCTTTTCAAGGGCCTGTTTCCCTTGCCTCCATAACTGTTGTGGGTATTGATGGCCAGGCTTCTAAACCTCTTAAAACTCCCCAACTCTAGTGCCAACTTAGACAACACTCTTTTATGCACTCTTTTTTAGTTATCCCCACCTGCCCAGTTCCCTTATTAGGCCGAGACACTTTAACTAAATTATCTGCTTCCCTGACTATTCCTGGATTACAGCTGCATCTCATTGCTGCCCTTCTTCCCAATCCAAAGCCTCCTTTGCATTCTCCTCTTGTATTCCCCCAGCTTAACCCACAAGTATAAGATACCTCTACTCCCTCCTTGGTGACTAATCATGCACCCCTTACCATCTCATTAAAACCTAATCACCCTTACCTCACTCAATGCCAATATCCCATCCCACAGCATGCTTTGAAAGGATCAAAGCTTGTTATCACTCACCTGCTACAGCATGGCCTTTGAAAGCCTATAAACTCTCCTTACAATTCCCCCATTTTACCTGTTCTAAAACCAGACAAGCCTTACAAGTTAGTTCAGGATCTAAGCCTTATCAACCAAATTGTTTTCACTATCCACCCCATGGTGCCAAACCCATATACTCTCCTATCCTCAATACCTCCCTCCACGATCCATTGTTCTGTTCTGGATCTCAAACATGCTTTCTTTACTATCTTTGCACCCGTCTTCCCAGCCTCTCTTCGCTTTCACGTGGACTGACCCTGACACCCATTAGGCTCAGCAAATTACCTGGGTTGTTCTGCTGCAAGGTTTCACAGACAGCCTCCATTACTTCAGTCAAGCCCAAATTTCATCCTCATCTGTTACCTATCTTGGCATAATTCTCATAAAAACACAACACAAGTGCTTTCCCTGTTGATCGTGTCCAATTAATCTCCCAAACCCCAATCCCTTACAAAACAACTCCTTTCCTTCCTAGGCATGGTTAGTGTGGTCAGAATTCTTACACAAGAGCGAGGACCACACCCTGTAGCCTTTCTGTGCGAACAACTTGACCTTACTGTTTCAGCCTAGCCCTCATGTCTCCGTACAGCGGCTGCTGTCGCCCTAATATTTTAGAGGCCCTAAAAATCACAAACTATGCTCAACTCACTCTCTACATTTCTCATAACTTCAGAAATCTATTTTCTTCCTTATTCCTGATGCATATACTTTCTGCTCCCTGGCTCCTTCAGCTGTACTCACTCTTTGTTAAGTCTCCCACAATTACCATTGTTCCCGGCACGGACTTCAATCCGGCCTCTCACATTATTCCTGATACCACACCTGACCCCCATGACTGTATCTCTCTGATCCACCTGACATTCGCCCCATTTCCCCATATTTCCTTCTTTCCTGTTCCTCACCCTGATCGCGCTTGATTTATTGATGGCAGTTCCACCAGGCCTAATCGCCACACACCAGCAAAGGCAGGCTATGCTGTAGTACAAACCACTAGCCCACCTCTTAAAACCTCTCATTTCCTTTCCATCGTGGAAATCTATCCTCAAGGAAATAACTTCTCAGTGTTCCATCTGCTATTCTACTACTCCTCAGCAATTATTCAGGCCCCCTCCCTTCCCTACACATCAAGCTTGAAGATTTGCCCCTACCCAGGACTGGCAAATTAGCTTTACTCAACATGCCCTCAGTCACAAAAACTAAAATACCTCTTAGTCTAAGTAGACACTTTCAGTAGACAGGTAGAGGCCTTTCCTACAGGGTCTGAGAAGGCCACTGCAGTCATTTCTTCCCTTCTGTCAGACATAATTCCTCAGTTTAGCCTTCCCACCTCTGTACAGTCTGATAACAGACCAGCCTTTATTAGTCAGATCAGCCAAGCATTTTTTCAGGCTCTTAGTATTCAGTGACAGACTAGTGGTCTATTAAAAACACACCTCACCAAGCTCAGCCACCAACTTAAAAAGGACTGGACAATACTTTTACCACTTTCCCTTCTCAGAATTCAGGCCTGTCCTTGGAATGCTACAGGGTACAGCCCATTTAACCTCCTGTATAGACACTCCTTTTTATTAGGCCCCAGTCTCATTCCAGACACCAGACCAACTTAGACTGTGCCCCCCAAAAAACTTGTCATCCCTACTATCTTCTGTCTAGTCATGCTCCTATTCACCATTCTCAACTACTCATACATGCCCTGCTCTTGTTTACACTGCCGGTTTACACTGTTTCTCCAAGCCATCACAGCTGATATCTCCTGGTGCTATCCCCAAACTGCCACTCTTACTTCTTGAAGTAAATAAATAATCTTTGCTGGCAGGACTATGCTGAATCTCCTTAGGCACTCTCTAATCAGATATCCTGAGTCGTCCCAATTCTTAGAACTTTTATATCTGTTTTTCTCCTTCTGTTATTCCATTTAGTTTCTCAATTCATCCAAAACCGTATCCAGGCCTTCACCAATCATTCTATACGACAAATATTTCTTCAAACATCCCCACAATATCACCCCTTACCACAAGACCTCCCTTCATCTTAATCTCTCCCACTCTACGTTCCCACGCCACCCCTAATCCCGCTTGAAGCAGCCCTGAGAAATATCACCCATTCTCTCTCCATACCACTCCCCAAAAATTTTTGCCGCCCCAACACTTCAACACTATTTTGTTTTATTTTTCTTATTAATATAAGAAGGCAGGAATGTCAGGCCTCTGAGCCCAAGCCAAGCCATCGCATCACCTGTGACTTGCACATATATGCCCAGATGGCCTGAAGTAACTGAAGAATCACAAAAGAAGTGAATATGCCCTGCCCCATCTTAACTGATGACATTCCACCACAAAAGAAGTGTAAATGGCCGGTCCTTGCCTTAAGTGATGACATTACCTTGTGAAAGTCCTTTTCCTGGCTCATCCTGGCTCAAAAATCACCCCCACTGAGCACCTTGCGACCCCCACTCCTGCCCGCCAGAGAACAAACCCCCTTTGACTGTAATTTTCGTTTACCTACCCAAATCCTATAAAATGGCCCCACCTTTATCTCCCTTCGCTGACTCTCTTTTCGGACTCAGCCCGCCAGCACCCAGATGAAATAAACAGCCATGTTGCTCACACAATGCCTGTTTGGTGGTCTCTTCACAGGGACGCGCATGAAAGTTTGTATCTAGTATCTAAATCTTTAGAGTAAGATAGTCCTGGGACTAGGGAAAAATAAAAGCAAAAGAGAAAGAGCTGTTTTAGGTTATTCTGTATAGATCATGTTGTCTAGTAAGGACTTGCCTGATATTTTGCATATGCGGATGTTACAGTAGGTAATCTAGTCAGACATGAGCAGGACAGGAGAGGGTCCCCACTGCCACACACCAGGAATATTAGGCAACCATCAGGTGATGGTCAGGAGGTTGTTAAACTCACTCTAAAATTATAATTGATCACAGCTAGCACCAGTGAAAGGGAATCTCCCAGTAGATAAAAAATACATGAAACTGGTGATCAACAGCCTTCCTATAAAATCTCAGGAGTGGGCACCTGGGGTCAAGCATGCTCATTAAGAGACAAAATGGTGGCGTTTAACTGGTATATGATCTTCTAGAGACAATTGACTGGTAAGCGAAGAATGTCTCAAGTGAGCATGCGTACAACTCCAGTAAACACACTGAGCATGCTGCCCTCCCAAGTGCCGGCAGGCCACTGTGTGCATGCAGACAGCCCTCTCCAAGGAAAGAAAAGGGGAGAAGAGATGCAAGACCTCAGAAGCATGCCGGCATATAAAACTGTCAGTCAAAGGTCAAACTGCACACTTGATCACTCAAGTCACCTGCTTGGCCCTCTTCCAAGAGTACTTTACCTCCTTTCATTCCTGCTCTAAAGCTTTTTAACAAACTTTCACTCCTGCTCTAAAACTTGCCTCAGTTCCTCCTTCTGCTTTCTGCCTCCTCGAATTGAGGTTGCTACAGGCCTGTACAAATTTGCCACTGCTAACATAAACTTATATACAGTTAAGGAAAAACTCATTTTATGGAGAAAATGACATAGTATGTATGAGATGTCTCCACATAATGCTGTTGTAAATGTTAAACGTACTAGTTGTGTGACTTTTTATATTGTATGACTTTTACATGCAACGTATAATGTTCTATATTAACTCATGGAAATTTTCAATTTTCTAATATTTGTGTATTCCCATTTCAGCAAAAAAAAAAAATAGTTTAAATGTATATTGTCCCTATTCATTGAAGATCTTCACCAGGAAAAAGATTTGAAATATAAAATTATGTAGAATATTGCTGGGGAAATATTAAAAGCACTATCTACTGCCAACTCAGAATTCCTCTCCACAAAGGTTGAAGAGAAAAATAACTGCTTCATTATTGGATAAGCATAAGCCAGAATGTGATGAGCAACACATTCTGTCTAGGCAATTGTTAAAGAGATTGCAGAGACAGAAAGAAAGCTTACCCTAGTATATAGTCAAGCAGATACAATCCATTGCATACAAGTATTCAAGGTAAGCCATAACCAGTCTCAAGTAAGAGGACTTGACAGCACCATTTGTCACATGTAGTTCCACCTAAATTTACCTAGTAATTGGGGTGACCGTTTGTGCTAATTGGCTTTGTCAAAAAAATTAAACTCATATCTTTATGATAGAAAGTAGCTTTGCAACTTGAGCAAGGCACACATTTGACTCCAGAAGAAATTGGGAGATAGGGGCTCTTTCCTCTTGATAACATTTTAGAGAGTTGGCTCTTAGACCCTTGAAGAAATATTCCTGGGTTGTAAAACTGAAAAGAGGGTCGTTTCACTTTTAAAATATTTATGAACATTGGAAAGAGGCAGAAGAAGACTTTAGAAATTTTCCAAAGTAAATGCTCAAAGAAAAAGGTAACTCCCTTTTTTAAAATCATTTTTTATTAGATATTGTACTTACCCTTATACTATCCATATTTTAATAATATACACAAAATAAAGATTCCTTTTGTGATTACATGATGTGAAACTTAATGCTTGCTTGTAATAATCAAGTGTATTTTTACCAACATTATTAAAGAGAGTAATTTATTGAGGAAAGTTTCATTCTGACAAAAAAAGGATTAAAAGCAATGAGAGATACTTACATTTGTATCAATAATAGAACTTCTTTCCTCACTGGTCAACTGAGTTCCTTCCCTACTTTGTATCAATCATAAAGAAAGAACATCCAATTGGAACAAAAGCCAAGCAGGTTTTATTTCTGGACAGAAATGGAGAAGGAGTGAGCTCTTATTCAGAAGACTCCTTTTTCCCAAGCAATAAAGGGTGTGAGGTTTTGAGGACTGGGTATGAGGAGGAAGAGGAATGTTAGCATGTGCAGTGTGGGACTCCAGATGCACAGGTTCAATTTATTACCACCAAAAAGATTCTTCCTGCCCACTTCACAAATAAAGACCATGGCATTACAGTAACAAAAGAGTTTAGTTGACCCAAGGCTGGCCACTCCACACAGGAGACAGAGTTATTACTCAAATCAATCTTGTCTCAGGCTCATAGGTTAGGAGTTTTTCAAAGGTAGTTTAGGGGAAAAGGTGGAGATAGCTAGAAATGGGTGCTTGCTGCTAATTGGTTGGGGTGGAGATGAAGTTGTAGGGAGTTGAAGCTGTTCTCTTGTACTAAATTTATTCTGGGTGGGACCACAGGAGCCATCTGTCAGTGGGTCCAGTTGGAGCCACGAGTGTCAAATGTGTAAAAATTCTGAAAAGATATCTCAAAAGGCCACTCTTAGATTCTACAACAGTGATGTTATCTGCAGGACTTCCAAAATAATGGTTGACAATTATTGATGTCTACACCTTAGCAGAATTTAGGCTCCTCACCTCCCCCTGGCCTGCTGGCCTTTCATTAGATTTACAGAGGCAATTGAGTCTTGTGGAAGGGCTATTATCATTTAAACTATAACCTAAGTGTCTCTGACAGTTGCTTGGGCTGAAGCCCAAAGATAATTAAGGCAGCTTGAAAGCTAAAGGCAAAGTTGGGGTATGTTGGCTACAGCAGATCTCCCTGTTGATTTTTCCAAAGGCAGTTTCAAATTTACAAACATACATCTTCATACAAACTTTGTATACAAAATGACAAAGATTTTCTTTTAGGAGGAGAGAATTTTAGTATTATAATTATATGTTAATAATCTAAAGGCAGCTAGTGGTTGTCTGTTCCAGTTTGGGCCAGTTTGAGGGTCTTTCTCCCTTTGATATCTTGTCAGGGATCAAGAAGCTCTGGCACCATCCTGGACCATCTGGTTTCTATAAATATCTGTGCCTGTAAATAAGGCACTAAAGAAAAACGGTTATAAAAGTCCCTGGGAACACTTTTATAGGAATTGAAACTTAAATCCACGTTCAGACAAGAACATCAATGTTTGACTATCTTTAGTTTCTTTGTCTCTAAGTATATAAAAATAGCGGCATTTTGCCAGGTGCAGTGGTCATGCCTGTAGTTCCAGCTACTCAGGAGGCTAAGGCAGGAGGATCACTTGAGTCCAAGAGATCTGGGCTGTAGCATGCTCTGCCAATCAAATGTCTGCATTAAGTTTGGCATCAGTATGGTAACCTCTGTGACGTGGGGGACCACCAGGTTGTCTAAGGAGGAATTAACCAGCCCAGGTCAGAAATAGCAGGTCAATTTTTGTGACAATCAGTACTGGGATTATGCCTGTCTATAGTCACTGCACTCCAGTTTGGGCAACATAGCAAGACCTCATCTCTAAAAAAGCAACAATAAATAGCAGTGAAGGGGCTACATTGTCTGGGGTATATATACCCTGGGGTTCATTGTCATGTGCCAGAAAAGTTTAGGACACAGGCACACATGAGGGATTTAAGAGTAGAGGTTTAACAGGCAGAAGAGAAGAGAAAGAGAAACCATAGAGAAAGGGGTCCATACAGAAAGAGGTCTCCAAATAGAAAGGACCAGTGGGCAGCGAATGCACCAGGTTTTATAGTCCAGTTTGAGGAGGTGGTGTCTGATTTACGTAGGGCTCACAGATCAGTTTGATCAGGTATGACATTTACATAGCACGTGGGGAAGGCTAGTAACCCTACCCTAATCTTCTTATGCAAATGGGCTTTCCAGCTGATTGGTGCCATCTTGTCTGCTTCTTACTATACATGTGGCTGGCAGAGACAGAAGATGAAGCTGCCATCCTGAACATGGCTTGTCCCTAGTTCCTGGGGATTACAACTCAGCATGAGATTTGAGTGGGGACACAGAGCCAAATGATTTTATTCTACTCCTGGTCCCTACAAAATCTCATGTTCTTCTCACATTTCAAAACACAATCATGGCTTCCCAACAGTAGCCCAAAGTATTTACTCATTTCAGCATTGACTCAAAGTCCAAGTCCAAAGTCTCAAAGTCTCTTTTGCCTATAGGCCTGTAAAATAAAAAAACAGGTTAGTTACTTTCAAGATACAATGGGGATACAGGCATTTGGGTAAATATGGTGTACAGGCAATGAGTAAATACTCCCTTTTCAAAAGGGAGAAATTGGCCAAAGCAAAGGAGCTATTAGGTCCCAAGTAAGTTCAAAACCCAGCACAAAGTCATTAAATCTTAATGATTCAAAATCATCTTCTTTGGCTTCACGTCTCATATCCAGGCCATGCTGATACAAGGGGCAGGCTCCCAAGGCTCTGCAAGGTATAGCTCCCGTGGCTGCTTTCATGAGCTAACATTGAGTGTCTGTGGCTTTTCCAGGCACACAGTGGAAGCTCTTGGTGGATCTACCATTCTGAGGTCTGGAGGATAATGGCCCTCTTCTCACAGCTCCACTTGGCAGTGCCACAGTGGGGACTCTGTGTGTGGGCTCCAACCCCACATTTTCCCTCTTCACTGCCCTAGTAGAGGTTCTTCATAAGGGCTCTGCTTCTGGAGAAGACTTCTGCTTGGACACCCAGGCTTTTCCATACATCATTTTCTGAAATCTAGGCAGAGGATCACAAGCCTCAACTCTTGCACTCTGTTCACCTGCAGGCTTAACACTATGTGGAAGCCACCAAGGCTTGTGGTTTTCACTCTCTGAAGCAGCATTCCAAGTACCTGGGCCTGGGAGGGCTCCTGTGATGGTCCCTGAAATATCTTCAGGGCCTGTTTCTCATGGTCTTGGCTATTAGTACCTCCCTTCTTTGTAGTTATGCAAATTTCTGAAGCCTGCTTGAATTCCTTCCCTAAAAATAGGTTTTTCTTCCCTACCACAGGGCCACACTGCAAATTTTTCAAAATTTTATGCTTTGTGTCCCTTTTAAATATAAGTTCCAGTCTCAGATCATCTCTTTGTTCATTCATATAAACATAGGCTTTTAGAAGCAGCCAGGTCAAATCTTGAATTCTTTGCTGCTTAGAAATTTCTTTCACCAAATACCCTAAGTCATCTCTCTCAAGTTTAAAGTTCAACAGATTCCCTAGAGCTGGGCAAAATGCCACCAGTATCTTTGCTAAAGCATAGCAAGACTGACTTTACTCCAATTCCCAATAAGTTTTTCATTTCCATCTGAAACCTCCTCAGCCTGGACTTAATTGTTCATGTCACTATCAACATTTTGGTCACAATGACACAACAAGTCTCTAGGAAGTTTCCAAGCCTTCATTCATCTTCCTGTATTCTTCTGGGCCCTCCAAACTGTTTCAACTTCTGTCTATTACCCAGTTCCAAATCACTTCCACGTTTTCAGGTATCTTTATAGCAATGTCCTACTCCCAGTACCAATTTTCTATGTTAGTCTGTTCTCACATTGGTACGAAGAACTACCTGAGACTGGGTAATTTATAAAGAAAAGAGTTTTAATTGGCTCACAGTTCCACAGACTATACAGAAGCATGGCTGGTGAGGAATCAGGGAACTTACAATAATGGTGGAAGGTGAAGGGGAAGCAGCCATTGTCTTCACATGGAAGAACAGCAGAGAAAGAGTAAAGGGGGAAGTGCAACACATTTTCAAACAACTAGATCTTGTGAGAACTCATTCACCATCACAAGAATAGCAAGGTAGAAATCTATCCCATGATACAATCACTTCCCACTAGGTCCCTTCCTCTACATTGGGGATTACAATTCAACATGAGCTTTAGGTGGGGACACAGAGCCAAACTATATCAGTGACCTAAGAAAAAATTTAAACTTTGTAAATTCCCAAATGCCTGTTTTGGATTTCCTGTAATATTTACAAAAGCTATATTTCACCCTGTAGTCTAGTGGTTATGATTTGGTTCTGTCAACACTTCAGCCTGGGTTTAATTCCTAGTCATAAGTTTCTTAAAAATGTAAATTCTTCAAACCTAAAGAAAGAACAGACATTTATATGAATTAGTTTAAATCATTTGTTATGAATCTATATTCTTGTGAATCAGGGACCCATTTGTTATTTATCATTTTCCCCTTCATGAACAGCTTTGAGTTTTCTTTTTTCTTTTCTTTCTTTCTTTCTTTCTTTTTTTCTTTCATCTCTCTCTCTCTCTCCCTTCCTTCCTCTCTCTCTCGCTCTCTTTTTTGTCTATTTTAATTTTCCATCTATGGGACACACAGGAAGGTCGGCCTTTGTGCATAGATCTTTAGCTGAGAAGCTGACAGCCTAGAGAATATTGCAGGACACAAATGTAAATCCTTCCCCATTTGTGGCTAACAAATTTTTCCTTTCTTTAAGCTATGAAAGGAAAATAAATATCTGGACCCCAAACTCACTAAGCTAAAGGAATAAGTCAAGCTGGTAACTGGGTCATGAAAACCTGTCTCCCATTTTGGTTTTTAAATAAGATGGCTAAGATGATGTAAAGCTACATGCCTGCTTCACATTTTGCCCACAAGGAATTTCCTTGTGGATCCCAAGATCTTTACACTATAGCATTTCTGTTAAAGTTCACCATAGCAATGTAAATTGATAGATTATATTCTCAGGTGCAGGGACATAAAACAGAACTCAAAGTCATCCCTCTGCCCACCTGAGATCAATGCATATCTGATTGTTTCCTCTGTACTATTGTGTCTGGAATTGGTGGGTTCTTGGTCTCGCTGACTTCAACAATGAAGCCGCAGACCCTCGCAGTGAGTGTTACAGTTCTTAAAGATGGTGTGTCCGGAGTTTGTTCCTTCTGATGTTCGGATGTGTCCAGAGTTTCTTCCTTCTGGTGGGTTCGTGGTCTTGCTGACTTCAGGAGTGAAGCTGCAGACCTTTGCAGTGAGTGTTACAGTTCATAATGGTGGCATGCCTGGAGTTGTTCATTCCTCCTGGTGGGTTTGTGGTCTTGCTGGCTGCAGGAGTGAAGCTGCAGACCTTCGTGGTGTTACAGATCACAAAGGCAGCATGGACACAAAGAGTGAGCAGCAGCGAGATTTATTGCAAAGAATTAAAAAACAAAGCTTCCACAGTGCAGAAGGGGACCCAAGCTGGTTGCCGCTGCTGGCTGGGGCAGCCTGCTTTTATTCCCTTATTTGACTCCACCCACATCCTGCTGATTAGCCCATTTTACAGAAAGCTGATTGGCCCGTTTTACAGAGGGCTGATTGGTGCGTTTACAAACCTTGACCTAGACACAGAGTGCTGATTGGTGGATTTACAATCCTTTAGCTAGACATAAAAGTTTCCAAGTCCCCACTACATTAGCTAGACACAGAGCACTGATTGATGCATTTACAAACCTTGAGCTAGACACAGAGTGCTGATTGGTGCATTTACAATCCTTTTGCTAGACATAAAAGTTCCCCAAGTCCCCACTTGACTCAGGAGCCCAGCTGGCTTTGCCTAGTGGATCCTGTGCCAGGGCCATGGGCAGAGCTGCCCACCAGTCCCGTGCCACCCACCTGCACTCCTTAGCCCTTGGGCTGTTGATGGGACTGGGTGCTGCGGAGCAGGGGGCTGAGCCCGTTGGGGAGGCTTAGGCCACTGGGGAGCCCACCAGTAGGGGGGCTTGGGCATGGCAGGCTGAGGGTCCCGAGCCCTGCCCTGTGGGGAGGTGGCTGAGGCGCGGCAAGAATTCAAGTGTGGCACGGGTGGGCCAGTAGTGCTGGGGGACCTGGCGCATCCTCCACAGCTGATGGCCCAGGTGCTAAGCCCCTCACTGCCGGGGGCCGACAGCGCCGGCTGGCCGTCCACTTCAAAAGCAGGGCCTACCAAGCCTGTGCCCACCCGGAACTCGTGCTGTCCGATGAGCTCCACGTGCAGCCCCAGTTCCCACCCGCACCTTGCCCTCCACACCTCCCCGCAAGTAGAGGGAGCTGGCCCCAGCCTTGGCCAGCCCAGAGAGGGGCTCCCACAGTGCAGTGGCAGGCTGAAGGGCTCCTCAAGCACGCCGAGGCTGAGGAGGCACCAAGAGTGAGTGAGGGCTGCTAGCACGTTGTTGCCTCTCACTATTGTCTATGTTATCTTATATAAAAATGTAGATTCACTCATCCAGACAAAGACATGAATGACTATTTTCCCTGACTCCCTTCTCACATGAAAATTGTGTAGTTCTCAATATCCTGCCCTTTCCCCTTTAAATATTGAAGCCCTCAAAATCATCTTTGGAGAAAGACAGAGACCTGTCTCCTGGGTGTGTTTTTAGCTATGGCAAATACATCTCCTAAAATGACTGAGACTTGCTTTCATCATTTTCCTTGATTGACAAAGCTATAGAGGCACTGTGAAAACAGCAATGTGCCTCTAAGAACAGTTTAAAGCCCATCTATCTATCTCAGGATGCTTGCAGATATTGTAAGAAATTGAGACATTGAAAACAAGACTGTCTGCTCATTAAACAATAAAAAAGAGAAAGAAAAATTAAAATAGTAATTAATTAACCTAAACCTCTGTTAAACAAATATCCACCCACAACCCTCCAATGACCCTCGCCCCAATGCAACTTCTTCTTGGTACAAATTTCTACAAGGAAAAGACAAGAACAAGAATGTTTGCTTTTTGCCTGGATAAGGCTTGATAAAAAAAATTTTTAAGAGCTCTGGGGTCAGAAGTTAGCTTAATTAAAAGTTGATATTCAGGCTATTTTTTTAAGGTCTTTCTACTTTTTCTCTTTTGGGTTCTGTTTCTGGGAGTTTTTATCAGTTCACAGAAACCTCTTTTAATTATATAGTTCAGTCCTTCTGTTACCTTGCTTTCTTATTGGCATGATTTTTGCTGAGAAAAATGTGAAGTTTTATTGGCCTTTTAGAAAGCTTAAAATCTTCGAAAAATTGGCTCCTCTAAGGTTCTTTCCTCTACTTCCTTTCACTTATTTCTCCTTCCTTTTCATCAGCTTCAATTTCTTACGGCGAGATCTAGAGGAGACTTCTAGTGACTCTGAGACCCCTTTAGGAACCAAAAAAAAAAAAAAGGCACCACAGTCACCATTTTGGGGATCTCCCTGTCTTTCTCATAGCTCCCCAAGAGTCATGAGCAGATTCCTCTCAAGTCTCAAGCTCCATTGTTTGTTGTTGTTTGTTTTTGCACTGAGTTTCCTGATTTATTTGGATTTTGAGGAATACGGGGAGTTACTTTGTACTGTGAGGAAGTGCTTGACATTTGAGTGTACAAGGACTGGTGAGTCACTGGAAAGGAATGAAGTTTTAAAGGTGGCTGGCAGAAGTTGCAGTGCATGGTTATTACTTGAAGGAGGCTACTGGTTTCTTTGTGCATTTACGTAAGAAAAGTGTGGTTTGGATACTTAGAGGCTGTGGGAACACTTGGCATGGAGGAATAGACTCTTCTGGGGGGAGAGCTGATCACAGAGTCGACTGATTGGCATTGGGTTGTAGCTGCCAAATGGGTTTATTTTGCCTGCTGCTGAGATAGAGCCAATTTATCAAGACAGAAGAATTGCAATAGAGAGTTTAATTCACACAGAGCTGGCTGAAGGGGAAACCAGAGCTTTATTACTCAATTCAGTCTCCTGGGAAGTTTGAAGACTGGGGTTTTTAAAGGATAATTTGGTGGCTCGGGGGGCGAGGGAGTGGGGAGTGCTGATTGGTCAGGTCGGGGATCAAGTCACAGGGAGTCAAAGCTGTCCGCCTTCACTGAGTTGGTCCTGAATAGGCACCACAAGACCAGATAGCCAGTTTACTGGTCTAGGTGGCACTAGCTGGTGCTTCAAAATGCAGGGTCTGAAAAATATCACGAACACTAATCTTAGGTTTTACAATAGTGATGTTATCTTTGGGAGCTATTGGGGAGCTTTGGAATCTTGCTGCCTCTGGCTGCATAACTTCTAGACTAGGGGACCTCAACTTCTGTGCTGCCGACCGGTACTAGCCTGTGGCCTGTTAGAAATACAAAAATTAGAAGCCAGTCACGGTGGCTCACACCTGTAATCCCAGCACGTTTGGAGGCCAAGGTGGACGGATCATGAGGTCAGGAATTCGAGACCAGCCTGACCAACATGGTGAAACCGCGTCTCTACCAAAAATACATTAGCTGGGTGTAGTGGCACATGCCTGTAATCTGTAATCCCAGCTACTCATGAGGCTGAGGCAGGAGAATCGCTTGAACCCGGGAGGCAGAGGTTGCAGTGAGCCGAGATCGCACCATTGCACTCCAACCTGGGTGACAGAGCAAGACTCTGTCTCAAAAAAAGAAAAAAAAGAAATACAAAAAGTAGAAACCAGGCTGCACAGCAGGAGGTGAGTGGTGGGCAAGTGAGCATTACCACCTGAGCTCCTGTATTCCTGTCAGATCAGCCTTGGCATTAGATTCTCAAAGGAGAATGAACCCTATTGTGAACTGCACATGAGAGGGATCTAGGTTGTGGGCTCCTTATGAAAATCTAACCAATACCTGATGATTTGAAGTGGAACAGTTTCATCCTGAAGCCATCTTCCCCGACCCCCAAGCCGTGTAAAAATTGTCTTTCACAAAACTGGTCCCTGGTGCCAAAAATATTGGGGACCACTGTCCTAGACCATAATTTCTAATCTCGTGGCTAGTGTGTTAGTCTTACAAAGGGAGTCTGGTCCTCAGGTTAGATGGGGTTTGTTTCGGAAAGAGCTGTTATCTTTGTTTTAAAGTAAAATTATAACCTAAGTTCCTTCCAAAGTTAGTTCAGCCTATGCCTAGGAATGAAAAAGGGCAGCTTGGAGGTTAGAAGCAAGATGTCAGTTAAGTCAGATTTCTGTCACTGTCCTAATTTTCTCACTGTTATAAGTTTTGCAAAGCCAGGGGCACCTACCAACCTCGAAGGAATGTCCTTACAGTGAGGTGCACTTTGGGTTCAGTGTAAAAATGAGATCCTGGATTTTTGTGGATGTAGTTTCTCTGCCTTCCAGCTGTACATGTTTTCACATATTTGGCCTTGGAAACTTCAATGCATTGTCAGTCCTATTCATTAGTAGGCTCTTCCTAGACCTAAGAGGCCCAGTTGAAAAACAGAATAGACTGGCAGCTATCTATATAACTAAAATTGGTCTCTTTACAAAAGCTTGTGGCAAATTTCTATGTTTTTGTGTTACTTTGGCATCCATTTATTGGAGAGATGAGGTGTTCACACAGAGAGGATTAGCATCACAAGTGTTTTAAGCAGATACTTCCAAAACATGAGCTCTCTCCAATAGCAACAGTAGGTGGCTACAAAATTATTACAATAGTACCATATGTACTGGAGTAAATTTTATGCAGTTATAATTTAATACACATCTTTACATTTGCTTACATTTATCTCAACTGTGAATGGCATTGTGGATGGTCTGTGCTTATGTGCATAATTTTTGACAAATTTTAGCTTTTTATAATAAACTAGTGTACACCTTATTGTAGTAAATTATAAAATGAACTAGTACTTACATATATTTTATGCATTCATGACATACCTTTTTATTATTTTCAATATTTTTAGGTTACATGGTTCATCTAAGGGTTTTTTTTTTCAAATTATTGCAATGCTCCAAAAAATTTTTGATATATTTATTGAAAAAAAATCCACGAATAGCTGGACCTACTTAGTTCAAACCATGTTATTCAAAGGTCAATTGTAATTGGAGATACTGAGGGTTTTTTAACCAATGCTTTAATTGGAGTGTCATATTTTCAAATATGACTACTTGAGGGATTGAGGTTGACTTTCATGGATCCAATAAAAACCTCCTCGAGGGGGGCCAGACCAGTGGCTCATGCCTCTAATTCCAGCACTTTGAGAGGCCAAGGCAGGTGAATCTCTTGAGCCCAGGAGTTCAAGATCAGCCTGAGCAACAATGGCAAAATCTCTGTTTCTCCAAAAATACAAAAAATTAGCCGGGTGTGGTTGCATGAGCCTGTAGTCCAAGCTACTCAAGAGGCTGAGGTGGGAGGATCACCTGAGCCCATGGAGATCCAGGCTGCAGTAAGCTGTGATCAAACCACTGCACTCTGGCCTGAGTGACAGAGTAAGACCCTGTCTAAAAACAACAACAACAACAACGACAACAAAAACAGTCCTTTGGAAAAACTGGTCTGGTACTTTATCTACATGTTTCCTTTACAGAATTTCTGACTGTGGTAAGTAAACAATGTTACTTTCTTTCTCTCTCTCTCTCTCTTTTTTTTTTTTCTAAGTGAATCTCATTGTGTTGCCCAGGTTCGTCTTAAACTCCTGGGCTCAAGTAATACTCCCACCTGGGCCTCTCAAAGTGCTGGGATTGCAGGCATGAGCCAGCACACCCAGCTCCAGTGCTACTGTGCGTCAGGCCTAGGAACCTCAGGATATTTTGAAGACCTTAAGAAGAAAGAAATGCATCCAATTTATACAGGTATTACAGGCATAGCATTTGGCTTGACTCCTAAGTCTCAAGGTTTTTAAAACTCTAATTTGAAATTCCTTATAAAATAGTTCCAGAAAAGCCAACTTTGAAAGAACAGATATGGACAATCTCTCTTCTTGCTATACTTTATGTAAATAATTAGGCCAAGTATAATAAGACTAAAAATTATTTTGCAGATAAATTGATCTTATTATGATTTATTCTTGGTAGTGATGGGGATCTAGAGAGATTAAAATTGTGTTTCAGAAGAAAACTATGATACAGCTCTTATTAGATTCTAGCCCTGTTCGTTGTTTTTGAGTTTTAATTATTGCCCCATAATTTGGACCAAATTCTGAATTATTTCCTGGCTACAAATCTTCAAACTATGTTTCTAAGTTTTTCTCCCATTTTTCCAACCTGGAGTCACTAATATTGAAATTCCCTTTTTCTGCAAGTCCTGAAGACTGAAACTTATGTATAAAAAATCTTGTGACATACAAACCAGAAAGCAGAAAAATCTATCAGATTGCCACCGTCTGCCCATTCCAAATGAAGATGCTTCAGAGACTCTAGAAAAACTAGTTATAGACTACTCTAGGCATTGAATTTCACTTTTCTTCTTTTTTTCATACAAATGCTTCTTATTAAAGATTCATTTGCCTGTATCACATATAGAGTCCTGGCTTTGAGAATGCATCTACAATGCCTTCTCCTAAAATGATACAAATTGCTTAAATGGACTGGCTTATTCCCAGAAGAGGAAGGCTGATTTAATGGGATCCTTTGCCAATCAGCTATTAGCTTGTTTTTTTCTCTTCACAGCCACCAACTCAGCTTTTAATGTGTGAAACTTCTAGGGAAGTTTTAGACAGGGGGAATGTTGGGGCACAAAAACAATTTCTGGAAATATAGGGCTTTAGCATGATGAGTGCTTTGAAAATAGAAAGGACTCAGAAATAAACTTGCCAAACAATGTTCCTCTGTGACCTTTTGCCTGACTCCGTGTCTCTCTGATCACCTTTCTGGAAGCACTGAGAGGGACTCTCTAGAATTTCTTTATCTAAGAAGCTTAACTTCTTAAGACTCCTTCCCTAGGAATGTTATTAAGTAGCCAGGAAACATCAACTATGAGACAGGAAGTCATCATCACAGCCAGCCAGCCTTTTTAGCTATTCTTCTGAAGGAAGCACCAAGAGATTACCTGGGGGTTCTTGGATATTTAATTCTTGATAAGTTTCCTAGAGTTTTCTAAATTATGCATTTTGAAATTCAGTTTTTGTCCAATGATATATTTGTACTGTAATGATTTCTTCATAACTTTAACTTGTGGAGAAAAAAAATGAAAGACACGACTATGTGATACCAATATTCCATTTGTTTTGTCAGCTTTCTGTTTGCAACTCAGAAAGTAAGGATTTTAATAATATGCAAGTAACTATAAAACATAGACACTATAGCTATCCCTCTTGAACTATCAAAAAAAAAAGCAAAATTTTAAGGACGCTCCTGTACTTTTAATTGAAGAATACCAGATAAAAATTTTGGTCCTACAACTTGCCAATTTTGTGATTACAGGTCACTTCATCTCATCATTTTGAAAATGGTAAGTACCTATCTTAGGACATTTATAAAATGAAACACATG
Source organism: Homo sapiens (assembly GCF_000001405.40). Classification (NCBI taxonomy): domain Eukaryota; kingdom Metazoa; phylum Chordata; class Mammalia; order Primates; family Hominidae; genus Homo; species Homo sapiens. The sequence continues at coordinate 18,558,218 of NC_000005.10, forward strand.
CATACAAAGTGTGTAATAGTCCCTGGCTTAGACTAAGTGCTTACATAACTGTACCTTTGCTGCTAGTGTTTGAACTTTTATATCATATTCCAGCTTCACATTATCCACTAAATGTGTTCAACAGTTAATCACTGAACTAACATTAAATAGTTAAAAGTCTGAAGTGTGTGAGTACAACGAATACTAAATATGCACAACATATTTTTGGAAAATTTTTACCTACTCAATATCTCTTTACTTTGTATAATTAATATATAAAAACAAAAAAAAATAAAATAATTTGCTTACAGTATTCTATACCACATAATATGTAATGACAAAATTTAAACATGAGAAACAACAGTAGAAACGTTAGATGACAAGGGGAATAAAATTAGTGTGAAATCTGCATACCGTTAGGTGCTAGCAAGGGTAGCATGTGGCCTTGAGTTTCAAAGTAAAAAATACAGAGAAAAATAATTAGTTTAAAATGTGTTGATTTCCTTAAAATAGCAACAAATGAAGCCAAAATTGTTTTTCCTTTTACTGAGATCTGAAATAAATTTCTCACATAGATATTTAAAGTGGACATTGTTTTAGATTAAAACAAATTTTAGTGCTTCTATTGTTAAACTAATGTGTTTGATAAGGTCTTTCTTTTAAAAAATTCTCTTTTTGAGTTAATAGATAAGGGCAAATTAAAGGAACAGCAATTATTTGATAAACTAAAATAATATAGGCTTTTTATTACTTTTTTGTCAAGCTTGAACTGAATAGGAAATATACAATTTATATGAATGTGTATAGATATGTATATGTGTATACATAATACATGCATATATTATATTCCTTGAAAGCTGGCACTATCAAATTTACATATGTAGTTTGTTGAGTTTTTTTATTCCATATATGTAGAGAAGAGGAAAAAACATTTATGTCAGAAGAAAAAATATGACAAAAAGATTGAGTTCAAGGAAACTTTCTTACTATATTTAATAAACTGGAGACATAATCTATATGCCCTGTAATTAACCCTATTCCTGTTTAGAAAAAAAAAAAAGGGCAACTTGCTGCCAGCGCTCATTTAATTTTACATAAACACACTTTTTGAGGCTGAAGAATATCTGATTGGTTTTCAATGTAAAAATGAAATATTAAAACTGTTCTTCGAGTTATTTCTAAACAGAACTAACATCAGAATTGCCTGAATCATAAGAATCATCTATTTTGGAAAAACCAGATTCATCAAATGAATCTTAAGCCAACACTCGTTTGAGAATGATGTTAACGTCATGAGTAGGGATCCTACATTTTCTAGGATTTGACATTTTCAGTGATCAAGAATTACTATATTTTATAAATAGAAATACCACTACTAACCACAGAAAGCTATAAACAGAATAATGTCTTTTGTTTCCAAAGTCAATATACTAGAGCACTGAGAAAAATATAATAAAAGCAACATATTTTGTAGCAGTGTTATCTCAGGGTAAATACTGCAGCCACAGGCCCCAGCGAGTATTCTCGGAGCAAATGGGAATGGGCTTAATTCCATAAAATTGACATACACGTTGACAAAAATAACCTTGATGCAGATCATAGGGAAATTTGTGTTGTATAAGCTTCAACAAGTCTGTTAGGTTGCCCAAGGTCTAAATTGTTCAAAATCATTGAAAGCCTTTTGGCATTTTATTGTCTGAAATATTTGAATTATTTGAGCAATATGTAAAGATCTTAAAGCTTAAAAACTCTTACTCTTTTTCTTATCAAGTACGTTTTATAATTTCTTTTCAATTTAATTTGTGAGTTACCAATTGAAATGTTATATTTTCAATATGAATTAATTTCATGTAGGTTAGAGTCCTATCTTTAGTTATTTTACCAACTTGTCTTTAACTTTTAGCACATTATGATAAAAGACAGTCAGCAGTAAGGTTTTTCTTTTGTTTTGTTTTGTTTTGTTTTTTTGAGATGGAGTCTCACTCTGTCCCACAAGCTGGAGTCCGATGGTGTGATCTCGGCCTACCACAACGTCCGCTTCCCAGGTTCAAGCGATTGTCCTGCCTCAGCCTCCTCAGGCACCTGCCACCACGCCCAGCTAATTTTGTATTTTCAGTAGAGAAGGAGTTTCTTCATGTTGCTCAGGCTGGTCTTGGACTCCCGACCTCAGGTGACCCTCCGGCCTCGGCTTCCCAAAGTGCTGGGATTACAGGTGTGAGCCACCGCGCCGGGCAGCAATAAGGATTTTTATCCAGAATCTAGTTTGGGGGAAGTTATGCAAATACACATATATATATATATATATATATATATATATATATATATATATATATATACGCACACATACATTTAAGGACTAAATTCTCTTATGATGTTAACATGAATGCATTTTGCAAATATGCTTGTAATTTTTCAAAATATACCTGATTTGAATGTAATGGAAACAATAGGAATGCCTGTATAAGTTAGCAAGAAATTTGAGAAAACTACTCTGAAATTCTTTTTAAAAATGATACATGTACTCCTTTGCCCAGAATGTTTCAAAGGTACTTCTTTCCATTTGTTTTTAGATTTATGACTCTAGAATTCCATTTAGAAGAACTCTCATTCAAATGCAGAAAAGAAAGGGAGCCCAAAGGGAAGATAGAAGTGACTCACTGACATAAAATAGGCTGAGAAACAGTTACGTGAGTAATGCATAATGAAATTGTGTGAATATAAAGTGCAAGTGGAAAACTATTAAATTATATAAATAAAAAATAGTTATATCCAGATTATATGCATCTGTCTATATCTAAATGGGTGAAATAATGCACTGACATAATAAGAAGTAATAGTTATAATTTGGAAAATAAAAGAGTATACCATACAATATATTCTAGGGAAAATAATAGCAATGAAAGACAATGATGACTTTTTGTATGTATACCCACAAATAATCTATATTTCAAGTATTAAGACAGATTTCAAATATTAAGTTTTATTTAAAGAATTTTTCTGTTCTTGAAATCTGCAAAAAGTAATAAAACCATCTCCTACTCCTCAGTTTTCAGTTCTGCAATTTTATTTTCATTCACCATTAAAAATTGAAATGGTTAATTTGATTATTGTCTTAAATTACCTTTCATTTTGGCACAACAGCTAGTTTTCTAATCTTCAATATGTATGTGAGTGTATATATATACACACACATAGTTTTCTAATCTTCAATATGTATGTGTGTTTGTGTGTGTATATATATACACACACGGCTATACGTATACACACATATGTATATATATATATGTGTGTATATATATTTAATTCTATTTTGCTTTCTGCTCAGTAAAAATGTTCATAGAACATTGTATTTGATTCCTATTTATTACTTCTTGACAACAAACACTATCTACTACAGAGTAGCATCATTTATTTCATCCATAGGAGCATTTTATTAGACTAAAGTATTTAATGATAAAATCAGGCACTTTGAGGGTTTCATCGATCATATGATGCAGACTGATTTTTACAAACAATTCACGTTACTTCTACTGACAAATTTGCAATGTCACAATTTACCCAGACTCTGCTGCTTTTATAATAGCTATCTAAAGTATAGGTATGCCCATTCTTAGAATAAATAGAAGACAATTTTCCAAGAATTCAGGGATATCTTAAAACACGTTTGTTACTTTTCATCACAAAGACTTCTCAAACTTGTTTCATAAAAGTGACAGTGAAATGTGAATATCTTGTAATATCTGGAATGTAAATAGGCATTAGAACTTTTGAAAGATACGGCATTTTAAATTTAGAGGATTAAGAACTTGAGAAAGAGATTAAAATGATACTGGCCTTAGGCAGCTCATTAATTCTATGCAGATATGGTCTCATATGTCCTTCAACAACATATTTGAAATCTTTTAGCTTAAAGTCTTCCTTTATTTTTTGAATAATACGTCATTTGAGAAACATTAGTTCAATATTCCCAAAACTGCTGTCTAATATGCTCCAAACTTACTAACACCAAAACAATAAGGAGAAAATGAATAAGCTTTAAATTATATGTCATTTGTTTAGGTAATTCAGTGTGAAAGATGAAAAGTAACATATTTGAAAAGAAATTTTGTACTAACATATTTTTCCTCATCTTCTCATTTATACAATATTATCTCCAAGGTGATCATAGTATTAATACATAAATGCCTCTCATTAATCTTCCAATATTTGAAAACTGCTAATTCTTTATATGCTTTGGGGAAAAATGCACAATTCTAAAAATTATTTAATAAAAAGTCCATACAATCATTTTACTTATTAAACAAGTCAATAGTCTTTGGATATATGCAAAAATAATGAAATAATATGGAATATTTATTCATACTTAGTTTTGAAGTATTGATCTCAATCGGCAATTGTTCCCTAAATTTCAGATTTGTCTATTCAGTTTGAGAGTCAACAGAAAACATGTGATTTACATTTGCAAGTTACCACATATAGTGGCTTTTGTAATGACATATATGGTTTAGATGACCCATTTTGTTTTTGCAGTCAGCTCCTCTTCTTTCTCCGTCCTCTGAAACCCCATTGATATCTCACACTGATTATTACATTTCCCTGTCAAAAGCCTCCTGTTTCCTCTCTTGTCCTCTAATGTACTATTTTCTACCTGGAGACCAGAATCACTGTATAAAATTACAGATCACATCACATTTCACCCTGCTAAAATCTCTTCAATAACTTTCATTTCCTTATCATGGTCCTCACAACATTAAGATCTTCTGGTCTACCATTAGTACTTTAATTTCACGTATCTAACACCCTCCTCCACTTTAACTATATTTAGGCTGTTTTTCTTTTGGTTTCTTGACCATTTAAAGCATATTCCCACGTCAGGGCCTTGGGACTAACTGGTGCAGCTGCTGGCATCTTCCTTTAAATGTTTGTGTGACTTGATATTTCATTACAGTCGGGTTATACCTCACCAAATCTCTCATAGAATTGCCACTTTTGGTATATTTTAACCTCTATAAAATAATATTTCACATATTTATTTCATTTTACTCTATTTGTTCAATTGTATTTATAGGATTTGAACTGAAATCTTCATATTTACTTACATGTTTACTGATTTTTTTTGTTTCCTCAAGTAGTATGCAAAGCAAGTACATGAAGAGAGATCTTATTGTTTTGTTTGTCATAAGATCCTAAATATTCAGTCATACATGAAAAGTACTAAGGAAACTCTAAAATAAATGAATGAATCAAAATCAAATGACATTATGTATAGATAACATAGGTACATTTTAAAAACTGTGTTGAACTTTTGTTCTTTTCTTATTTTGGGTGAGTAGAATAGTTATTATAGATTTTCTTCCAAGAATATATAAATTGATCATTCATTATAGTAACAATTTTTTTTTAATTTAATGGACAAACAATAGTTTTACATATTTTTATATATAATATTTTCATATAATTATACATGTATGCATTGTGGAATTATCAAATCAGGGTAGTTAATTGGTTCATCACCTCAGATATTTGTCATTATACTCCTTGTTTAAACTACTGTGGGATATGATTAATATCTTGCACAGATTTCAGGCATACATAATTCCAAAAGTCAAATAAATATAATTGAGATAACTAAGATTTATAATGATACAACTGTTTTTGAAAACAATATTCAAAGGGAACCATTTAAGAAGTATTAGAATCAAGCCTACTAACTAAAGGAAAAATAGAATACCTGATATAAATTCAAGTTGAGAAAGAAAAAAAGAAAAAAAAAACAACAACCTTTTATCTGAGGAATGCAAGCCTCCTGTAAATGATCAGGCCCCTAGAGGCACAGGAATGAGGCAGCCTCATGTCCCAGATGCCGCCTTTAACCAAGTTATTCTCTTGAAGCGGTTACTATGTAGACTCTAGACTGACTGTATAAATTACCCAAACCATGCCACATGCTAGACACCATAACTCATACCCTGTAGTTCAACAATGTGTAGCCAGTCACTGATCAGTATTACTTCTGTAAACCAATGAAAATCCTGACAAACAACTTTGCATCAGCCCACTCCTTGTCTCCCCTGCTCTTCCACCTACTTTTTTTGGTCTTTGCTACCTGCTTGTAATAAAGGCTGAACTGAACAGGAGCTTATATCCAAGGTTACTTGGATCTGAGTCTTCTGGGCAATTTTCTTAGATTTAGCTCAAGTAAATTCATTGAAATTATATTTTGTGCCTCAGCTTCTGCCTTTAGGTTGACAAAGTTTATTTAACTTTGTGATATGTTTAGATTTAGTACTTTTTTCCAAACAAGCAAATGAGTGTTTCCTCCAAAATCAAAGTGCCAATTGCTCTTTTCTCAGATGAAAATTAATTTTCAAACAATTTTCCACTGTTACTGAATATCACTTCCCATAATTTTTGTTCTGTAAAATGAGTTAAGCCTGGGAATTCACCTACTATCATTTATTGAACTCTCAGTATGCTTGGGAAAATCAACCAAATGTTTTACGTACCATATTTGATTTTATATTTTCATATTCCTGTGAGGTGTTCAAATTAATATTTCAAAGACATAACACTGAAAATCATATATTTTAAATTCAATTATACATGATTATCTTTCAGGAAATGAGAAATTAAAACATAGGTCAACATTATTTTAGGCTCATACATGTAACTTCCTTATGCATTGAGAGAGAAAATTTAAAAAAAAATAATATGAAAGGATATTGTCACTAGCTTTCATTCTTTTTGCTTTTTTACTTCATTTATAAAAACATGCATATGGAATAGTACCTAGGGTCAAACAGTGTCAAATATAGTTTTGTAGCCAGGCATGTTTGCTCACGAGTGTGATCCTAGCATTTTGGGAAACCAAGGCAGGAGGGAGGATAACTTGAGGCCAGGAGTTCGAGATCAGCCTGGGCAAAATTGTGAGACTCCTTTTCTGCAAATAATTAATTTATAATATAAACATAAATATAAATATAAATACATGTATGTGTGTATATATACACCTGTGTGTATGTGTGTATATATATGTGTATATATATGTGTGTGTATATATATATATATATAGAGAGAGAGAGAGAGAGAGAGAGAGAGAGTTCTGTGGAATCAATGAATTAAACTCACAAAATCAGATGTCTATGTCCAGCTACAATGGAGTAGCACAGAATACAACACTTGTAGTGAGAATTAAAAAACCTAATTAAGTAAGAAGAAAAGAAAAAAGAGATATGTTCAAACAAATCTGGGAGTTACTGATGAAACCAGGACTTAGGGAAACTTCATCTCAGAATGTGGGGCTGCAGCCAATATTTGTTGCTGGGTATTGCTAGTTTGGTTGTGAGGCAAGTTGGATGAAAAGAACCCAGAATCTCAATGAAACCTCAGCTATAACATGCTCAAAAAGATACAGAAAAAAGATGTAGGAAATATGTTAAAATTGTGAATAATTTTGCCAGATGATTGCAAAAATCACATGGAAATTCTATATGTGGAAATTTTAACAGATTAAATTAATGACTCAATGGAGGCATTCAAGAGCAGGTTAGGCATAGCAGAAGACAGTCCAGAAAACGGAAGATAAAATAATAAGAGATAAATTGAAACAGAGGAAAAAATTTGAAAACACATGAAAGAGCTTAAGAAATAAATAACGTGGAACACGTTGTTTTTAGAGGTAGATAGAAAAGGATTGGAAAAAAGCTTGTTACAAAAGCAATATTTGGACAAATATTATCTGTGAGTTTTCTGATACTGTTGAGTGATAGAACAACAGATTCAAGAAGGATAGACATATAGAAAATTCTTTAGGCACGTCATTGTTAAATTGCTAAATACCAAAGATTAAAAAGAAAATTTGTAAAGTAGCCAAAGGGGAAAAGAAGACAATTTTCAAAGGGACACTCATAGCCAATTTTATAATAGAATATATTTATATTCATTAGAAAGCAAAATCATATCTTTGAAGTGTGACAAGGAAAAAAAATTAAAAACCAAGTGTGACAAGGAAAAAAAATAAAAAATCTATACCAAGAATATAATGTCTACTGAGTTAAATCTTCAGAACACACTAAGAATAATATCTTTTCTTATATAACCACAGAACCATTATCAACTTCTGACAATTTAGCATTGATGCAACACTCTTGCCTAATCTACTGTTTATATTCTAATTATGTTATGTGACCCAATGATCTTCTTTACAGTAATTATTTTCCTCCATTACAGGAACAAATCTAAGATCAGGTGTTTTCTTTACTTGTCAATTTCTTTATTCTTCTTTAATTGCAAAGAATTAGTCTTCCTTGGTCTTTTTGACATTAATTTTTAAAAATAACAAACCCACCTTTTTTACATAAAATATTTCTCATTTTCAGTTTTATAATAATTTATTATTATTATATTCAGGGTAGGCATTCCAAGCAAAATACCACATACATGTCATTGTGTCATTCTCAGGGTAAGATATTCTGAAGCACATGATGTCTATCTACCCTTTTACTGTTACTTTAATCATCTGGTCAAGGCATTGTTCTTCACTGCACAGTTATTATTTCTCTTTGCAACTATAAAGAAATCTGTATGAGGAAACATTTTAAATCATGTCAGCACACCTCCCCCACCAAGAGATTTAGCCATTATCATGAAGCAGACATTATACTTTTTGGCTTCAATTTTCTAATGTTAATGGACTTAAAAATAGATGTAATCATAAAAGAAAGAGTGGAACTCTGGGAGACAGATGTCTGGATTTTATTTCTAACTTCACAATTGAAGAGGACAGTGGCTGTGAGCCAAGTATATTTCTTGTTAGTAAAATGCAAATAATAATTACATTTAGTTGATAAGATTATTGTAAGAATTGAATCAGTCAAAAATACAAAACCGTTAGTAAAATGTATGGGAAGAGTTCTCATTGAATATTAGCACCCATTATGAATATTATTTCTTTTGTAGTTAGTAAGTTATTTTATAATTATTACTTTTCCTAAATATTAAAATAATTTGAATTTTTCTTGCATTTTTCCTTTTAAAATTTTTTTATTGATACCTGATATTTGTACACATTTATGGGTTTCATGTGATATTTTGTTATATGCATAGAATGTATAATGACAAATCAGAATATTTACATATTCATCACCTCAAATAGTTAGCATTTTTAAATGCTGGGAACATTTCAAGTTCTTTGGTTTAGATATCTCAAAATATACAATACTTTGTTGTTAACTATAGTCACCCTACTCTGCTGTTGAACATTAGAACTTATTCCTTTTATCTGCTGGTTTGTATGCATTAACCAACCTATCTTCATTCCCTCCCTCACCCCCTATACCTTTTTAGGCCTCTGATATCTATCATTCCACTCTCTACCTCCATGACATCAGCTTTTTTAGAACTCGTAAGTAAGTGAAAGCATGTGATATTTGCCTTTCTGTGCCTGGCTTATTTCACTTAACAACATGATCTCCAGTTTCATCCATGTTGCTGCAAATGACATGACTTCATTCTTTTTAGTGGCCAAATAGTATTTCATTTTGCATATATACCAAATTTTGTTTATTTATTCATCCATTGATGGACACTTAGGTTGATTTCAAATCTTGGCTCCATTAGTCAGTTCTCACTCTGTATAAGGAAATAGGTGTGATTGGGTAATTTATAAAGAAAAAAGGTTTAATTGGCTCAGGGTTCTGAAGGCTGTACAGAAAACATGGCAGCAGCTGGTTCCAGGGAGGCCTCAGGGAGCTTTTACCTACAGCAGAAAGCAAAGTGAGAGAAAGACCATGTCTTACATGGCAGGAGCAGGAGGAAGAGAGAGAAGAGGGAGGTGCAACCCACTTTAAAACAACTAGATCTCAGGGTAACTCACTCACTATCACAAGAACAGCACCAAGAGAATGGCGCTAACCCATTCATGAGAATTTCACCCCCATGATTGGGTCACCTCCCACCAGGCCCCACCTGCAACACTGGGGGTTTCAATTTGACGAGATGTGGTGGGGACACCGAGCCAAACCATATTCTTGACTATTGTGAATAGTGCTCCAATAAACATGTAAGCACAGGTATATTTTTTATATACTGATTTCTATTGGGTAGATACACAATACTGGGATTTCTGGATTGTATGGTACATCCATTTTTGTTTCTTGAAAAATCTCCAAATTGCTTTTCATAGTGGCTGTGCTAATTTACATTTTTACCAACAGTATATGCATTCCTTTTCTCCACATCCTTGACAACATTGGTTTTTTTTTGTATTTTTAATAATAGCCATTCTAACTGGGGTGAGATAGCTCATCATGGTTTTGATTTGTATTTCCTTGATAATTAGTGATGTTGAGCACTTTTTCATAGACCTATTGGTCAATTGCATGTCTTCTTTTGAGAAACGTCTGTTCATGTTTTTGCCAACTCCATACAACCCTGAATGTGCCTGATCTTGTCCATTAAAAACAATAACAACAACAAACCTAATTGTTGGAAAAGTTTGGTGAATCAAAGTGAGAAAACACAGAGTTACTTCTGTAATGGGAAGTTTGGATACAACATATGATTTACCTAAATTAGATAACTTCAAAGAATAACGATTATAAAAGTTGTAATAATATTAATGAGTTAAGTTTTATTTTTTGGAATGCAGTCCTTTTTTATGAATTCCAGTTATAAACGTGGGATTTAGTGCTAAATATCATGATCAGACAGCTTTCTCTGGGTTTTCGCTCCATGAACTCTTAATCTTCCAATGCGGAGAAACCTTAATTAAAATTTCAACCTATTAGCAATTTTCAATATATTTAATGAGTTGGGCAACTGACATCTCAATATGAAATGGAGCAATTGCATTTAAATAGTATAAAGATGGTTGCAAAAACTTCTCTTAGGGCTCTTTAGGAATTCTTATAATATAAAGGTCTCATCTCTAGTAAGGTTGAATTTTTGATGTCACAGTTTTCTTAAATGGCCATCTTGAATGCTAATTAGAGGTCTTCTTAGTTCATCATTCCAAACAGTATTTCAAATTAGCAAAATTAAGTCTCTGAGAACACGTTATATACTACTACTACTACTGTTTGTTTGTATATTGCAGCCTTTTTTTAACCTTCTACCCATACATATTTTAGGAAAAAATTAAGATTATATAATTTCTTCTGATTTTTTTCTGGTCTCTGCTATATGATCTAAAAGCATCTAATAAGAATTTATTTTTCATATTGGTCTTGAAGTCTATATAAATAAAATAAGCCTAAAGAATAGTAGTGACTGATTTGTTATGAAAAACACTACTGATTGATATTTGAGTATTATAGGACATATGAAATTATATGGGAAATCATTGAACATAGTACCTTGGCGATATAGTTTGGCTGTGTCTCCACCAAAATCTCATCTTGAATTGTATTTCCCATATTCAAGTACCTTGGTGATATAGTTTGGCTGTGTCGCCACCGAAATCTCATCTTGAATTATATTTCCCATATTCCCCATGTGTCATGGGAAGAACCCAGTGGGAAATAATGGAATCATGGGGGCAGTTACCCTCGTGCTGTTCTCATAATAGTGAGTTCTCATGAGATACGATGGTTTTGTAAAGGGCTTTCCCCTTCTCTCATCTCTCATTCTTTCTCCTGTCACCCTGTGAAGAGGTGCCTTCCTCCATGATTTTAAGTTTCCTGAGGCCTCCCCAGTCATGAGGAACTGTGGGTCAATTAAACCTCTTTTCTTTATGAATTACCCAGTCTCAGGTATCTCTTCATAGAAGTGTGAGAACGGACTAATACCATTCTAACCATTCAGTGAATGCTAATAGAATATGAATATTTTTAATTTTTTCCCCTTCCATGTGAAACTATTAATTGATATGAAAAACCTCCGCAGAAAGAGAGAAAAGTGATAATGTGGAATCCACATCAAGTTGGTAAACAATTGTGTCCTTTGGGCATATCTTTTTGGGGAGGAATATGCAAATGAGCAGTTTTAAGAAGAATTAATGCCAGAGAATTAGTTTGCTGAGATTTATTTGGTTTTAACGTATTTTTTCTTAGCTTCAATCCTAAGCTAAAAGAAAAAAGCTGGAGGTATTACACTACCATACCTCTAAATACACCACAAAGCTTTAGTAACCAGAACACCACAGTGCTTGCATAAAAACAGACACATAGACCAACAGAACAGAATAGAGAGCTCAGAAATTAATCCACCTGTCTATCGCCAACTTATTTTTGACAAAAGCACCAAGAATTCTCTTTGGGAAAAAGACAGTGTCTTCAATAAATGATGCTGGAAATCCGGATGTCCATATGCAGAAAAATGAAACTACCTCTCACCCTATACAAAATATATTATATATATAATCTGATTTGTAATTCCTTGATAATTAGTGATGTTGAGCACTTTCTCATAGACCTGTTGGTCAACTGTATGTTTTCTTTTGAGAAATGTCTGTTCATGTTTTTGCCCACTCCATACAATGTGCCTGATCTTGTCCATTAAAAAACAACAACAACAACAACACTAATTGTTTGAAAAGTTTGGTGAATCAAAGTGAGAAAACACAGAGTTACTTCTGTAATGGGAAGTTTGGATATATAATGAAATATATAATTTCATATGTACTGTTAAAACCGGGGGAAAACATGAAACATGAAATTGAATGATAGAGCTTTTTATACAGTTTTGCCTATCTCTCTTATTTAACTGACCATATTGATAAAACATTTTATAAATAGACTTAATCAGAAATATAGCTTGAACATCACTCTTCAGAATGAGGACAGTAAACTTGGGGAAGGCAGGGTTTAACCTCACCTCTTACCCTATTCAAAAATCAATTCAAAATGGATCTAAGATCTAAATGTAAGAACCAAAACAATAAATTGATTAGAAGAAGAAATAGGGGTAATTCTTTAGGATAGGAGGTTGGGGAAAATTTTTAAAGCACAAACAAAAGCAACAATAAACAAATGGGATTATATCAGACAAAACAGCTTCTGGACAAAAAAGAAAACAATCATCAACAGAGTGTGAGGAAACTTTTGTGCACTCATTTAACAGGGACTTAATATCCAGAATATACAGAATATACAAGAAACTGAAGCATCTCAACAGTAAAAAAAAAAAAAAAAAATAGAGAAAGAAAGAAATCTGATTTAAAAATGGCAAATGATCATAATAGATATTTCTCTAAAGAAGACCTGCAAGTGACCAAAAAATATATGAAAAAATGCTCAACATCATTAATTAACAGGCAAATGCAACTTAAAACCACAAGAAGTATCATCTCTCCCCATTTAGGATGGCTAATATTAGAAGAAAAAAAAAACAACCTAAATTAACAAATGGTGGTGAAGATGCAGAGAAAAGGAGATTCATACACTCTTGGCGAGAATGTAAACTAGCACAGCCACTATGAAGAATAGTATGGAGTGTCCTCAAAACCACTACAAATAGAACTACCATATAATCCAGCAATCCCATTACTGGGAATTTATTCAAAGGAAAGGAAATCATTATGTTGAAGAGACATCTGTACCCTCCTCATGTTTACTGCAGCACTATCCACAATAGCCAAGATATAGAATCAACCTATGTGTCCAACAACAGATGAATGGATACAGAAAACGTGGCATATATACACAGTGGAGTACTATTCAGCCATAAAAAAGAATGGGATCCTGTCATTTGTGGCAAGTGGATGGAACTGGGGAACATGTTAGTGAAATAAGCCATGAATAGAAAGGTAAAGATCTTACATGTTCTCACTCATATGCAGAAGCTAAAAATGTTGATCTCCTAGATGTAAAAAGTAGAACAGAGGCTGAGGATGGTAGGGGAAAGGTGAGGATAGGGAGAGATTTGTTAAAAGATACAAAATTACATCTAGATTGGAGAAATAATTTTGAGTGTTCTATAGCACTATAGGATGACTATAGTTAACAGTTATGCACTTCATAGTTTCAAATAGCTAGAAGGAGGTTATGGAATATTCCCAGCACAAAGAAATGATAAGTGTTTGAGATTATCAATATGCTAAACATCCTGATCTGATCACCCATTATATATATTGAAACATTACTATGTACACCATGAATATATACAGTTATTTGTCAATTAAAATATTTTACAAATTAAAAATAAATACAAATTTTAAAATAAAGACTATGAGGCAAAAGTAAAGTGGAAAATATATAGATAAATATGACATAAAGATAGTATTCTTAAGTCAGCCTGCTATAAATGTTGTGTTCATTTAATGATTTTTAAATGTTTAAATAATTTATTAAATATTTCAGTTGCCAGAAAAATAAAAGCATAAACAACACTGTGTGCCACTACTCATCTCTCTCAATTTCTAACATTCAGTCATACATGCTTCAGTTTAAAAAAATGCATGTGAAACCTGCTGTATTCCTCTTCCTAATTCCATTTTATTAAATTGAAACAAATAGAGAATTTTAAGATGGCATTCGTTGTATTGTTTCTAATATTTACCATATGCAGTTCTATTCTTGTGATCTAATATTTTCCCAGTATCTGTTGCTTTATATGTGCTTGTATGACTCAGAAAAAGAAAAACAAGCATGCATGTGGATTTCTTGCCTTTGCATGGAAAGGAAAATGCAGTAATGTTTGATGGAAACCTGTGACACATCAGATACCAACATTTGCTATTTATGGATCTGTTGATTCCTTGTATCAGGGACATTTAGTCAATATAAGTGAAACAGATATCTTCTACCATGTGCATGACAAAGCAGAAAAAGTTCGTTTCATGGGAAAATAAACATGAAATTGAAAGATAGAGCTTTTTATACAGCTTTGCGTCTCTCTCTTATTTAATTGACTATATTGATAAAACATTTTCTAAATGGACTTAATCAGAAATATAGCTTGAACATCACTCTTCAGAATGAGGACAGTAAACCTGGGGAAGGCAGGGTTTAATCTGGTCTATCTATATGCTTTTCTTAGTCTGAATGACGTCCCAAATTGAATCATTCAACATTTGCCCCTCCCAGTTATGTTAACAGCATGCTGATTCAATTATTTATTCTCTGTTCTTGGTTCCTGAAATCATTTGACTCAGTTATTTTTGGTTGAGAGTGAGACAATCTACATTAAAATATAACAAGGATAAAATGAATGAAATTGTCCCTTAAATATTCACTTAGATTAATTCCATAGGCTTTTGGCTTTATTCAAGGGGAGAAAATATAGCGGCGTAAGTAAATATTTCTGGAATACTTTTAAATTATTTAGGTCTTTAAGTGAGTATCACTACATACCCCATTTTCTGTGGTATATCCTGAACAAGGTAGTATTTTAGTTTAAACAGCATCCTGAGTGCATCTATTATTTTCAGCAATTTCTGTTACAAAATTCCTCTGAAAGCTGCTCTTCAGAATGTACTTTGAAATAAATAAATAACATCTAAATATTTTCCAGGTTAAAACACGCTTTCTCCTAGTTCCTATAGGTGATTGCAGAAGGCCATATTTTTACTATTTGACTCCACTTAACCTGACCATAGCTGACGAGACAAGAGGTCGACATTGACTCAAGAAAAGTACCCCTTTCTTGGTAATTTGGAATTTAGGTTGGTCTCTGCTGATTCCTTGGATCAGAGACATTTAGACAATATAACTGAAACAGATATCTTCTACCATGTGCATGACAAAGTAGAAAGAGTTCATTCCATGGGAAAATAAACATGAAATTGAAAGATACAAAAAAAAATCAGAGCTAAGAAGCCAGGTTTTGAAAATGACACAAAAGTACTCTATAACTTGGATGCTGGGTTTACTTTCTATTTTAAACCTGGAGAATGTACGTCCTTGTGTTTTCCAGAATGAAATGTGATTATTATTTAAATCAGTCTAAGTAAGTTTTATCAATTGAAACCAAATGATCCTTCATTGGTTCATTCACCATCAGTCTTATCAGTACCATTGTGGGTGGTAAATAACATTCTCTATTTTATCAAATCCAAACAAGCTAAAAAGTAATATTGGTATTTAAGTCATTGTCAAGAACCTAGGAGTTGAGATGTCATTTTTGGGATTTGTCCCAATGGCACATAACTATTCAATAATGTACAAAGCCTTCATTGTGAATGTCCATTTGTGTTTACTAAATAGAATTACTAGTTTTAATTTTTGAATAAAATATTTACACAATTATATTATGTCAATATTATTGACTTTTGATTGAATGTCAATTATCAATAGCATAAGGCTAAAAAAGCAAAACCTATAAAGTCAGACTATACCAGTTTGGAATCCTGGTTTTGTCTCTTATCAGCTACAAAGTCTTGGAAAAGTTTGACATTTCATGGGAATGTGATTGCACTCACTTTATAAAAACATTGCAATATGTAAAGGGGTTTACACATTTAAAATCTTTGAAGGCATGACTCTTAGAGCTTAATAACTTTTAAAATTAATGCATTTGTAATTCTTTTTCAGTAGCATATCATTGGGGGAAATAGATCTTTTTAAAGTTATAACGATAACATTCTTATTAAGTGGACACTGTGGATAATGGATTTTGTTTCATGGGTAAAGCACCGAGACACAGAGTAAGAAAATGTTTACTTCCCAAATAAAGAAAGAGTTGTATTCAGGTGATTCAGATTACTGGCAGGGATATATGAGTACCTATTTTCATAATTCTAGGCTTCTGCATTTTCTGAAGTTACATGGAGACCCACTGACCAGGAAATGTTGCTAATATAACCATAGCCTGAATTTAGCTGGTTTTGCTAGGTCAGGGAAGTAGTTTGGTTCTTAGGTTGTGGAGGTGGATATTACTTAATATAAGAAAAATACTACACTTTTTACACTGTTGGTGAGAATGTAAATTAGTTCAACCAACTGTGGAAGACAGTGTGGTGATTCCTCAAAGATGTAGAACCGGAAATACCATTTAACCCAGTAATGCCATTACTGGGTATGTGCCCAAAGGAATATAAATCATTCTCTTATAAAGATACAGGAACACTTATGTTTATTGCAGCACTATTGACAATAGCAAAGACATGGAATCAACGCAAATGCCCATCAATAACAGACTGGATAAAGAAAATGTACATATACACCATGGGATACTATGCAGCCATAAATAGTAATGAGATCATGTCCTTTGTAGGGACATGGATGAAGGTGGAAGCCATTATCCTCAGCAAACTAATGCAGGAACAGAAAACCAAATACTACATATTCTCACTTATAAGTAGGAGCTGAACAGTGAGAACACATGGACACATGGTGGGGAACAATACACACTAGGGCCTGTCAGGTGTGGGGCGGGTAGGAGGTGGGGAAAGCATTAGGGAAAAGAGCTAATGCATGCTAGACTTAATACCTAGGTGATGGGTTGATAGGTGCCGCAAACCACCGTGGCACATGTTTACCTATGTAACAAATTTGCACATCCTGCACATGTACCCCAGAACTTAAAAAAATAAAATAATAAAAAAAGAAAAATACTGCCAGCATGAATTCAGATCATTATTTTCCTGATGAACCTATAAATATTCTCCAACTTATTTTTCTCCATGAATAGTTTAAAATATATGAAAACCCCTCCTTGCTAATCATCATATACATTTGCCTTTGAGAAATATAGCTCAGGATTTCTTATTCTTAAAGTCATTAACCTATAAGACAATATTCATGGAATCATGGAAGTGTAATAAGCCCTGGAGGCTCTGGAACTTGCTACAAGATAGAAGGCAGCAAGCTGTTTGGGCTTTTAGAAGTTTGGAAGCTTCAATCCCTAGTGATTTGCTATTTCTCTTCTAAAAATTCTTTGCTATGAATTTTTTATATCTTCAGCAATGTGTGAAATTTAGGTGTCTGCCTCTGCTCTCTGCAGGGGACTTCTTTAATTTGGTGTTTGTCCTCACACTTAAATTCAGCTATCGTAGCAGTCCATGGTTTGATTATTTAACAAGACACAGGGGGAATTACACTACCATTAGTAGCTTCTGCAAACTTTTTGCATCCACTTTCTAACTGGCCAGTTCTAATTGCTAATGTTAAGCTAACACTATAAACTAATGCATTTTATTTTTCTTTTAACAAATTTTTGTACTTAATCACCACTTTTTTTTAACATGCTGTGAATCATGGATTACATTTCAGAATCTGCCACTTACTAGTCATATGATTTTCAGATAATTACTTGATTTATTAGAATGAAGTTTTTTTTTATTTTAGAAGTGAATTTTAAAATATAAGAAATGAAACTTCAATTAAGAGCAAGTATCCACCATGCATTCTCTATTCCCTTTGCACTCATCAAGTACCTAAGCTGCTTGTGATTCTTTGCCTGGAGGGGTGACCCAAACCTTCATTCCTGAGGTGTCTGGGCTATTAGCTGTCCTGTATAAATTGGGCTATTGGAGTTTTCCATTTATTTTAATCACAGAACATGATAGTACAAAGAGATGTCCTACGGGATTCCCTATATTCCAGACATACTCTTGCTTACTTCCATTGTGCCTCCATTGCAGCCCAATAACTCTTTGTTAATTACAATCAGTCACCCCAGCCAGTATAGTAACACTCTTCCTTGACTGTTCATTCAAATGCATAAGGAGCCCAAAGCAGCCAGACAGCTGTCTTAACTTCCAATTCAGCGGAATCACTGTTGTGTCTCCTAGCGTAAGCAAACACTCCCATTTCCACCCTTTGATTCCTGGACTCACAATTTCTTGCTATGTGGAAAACAGCACTGTATACTGAACGCTGATGTAAAGATTATACAATGTCATGGAAGACATTACCCAGCCCTGCAATGCGCAGCCACTTAGCTGGTGCTATAACTGAGTTTTCAAAAGGCTATTTCACTTTTCTATCAAGTCAACTGCTTTCAGGATATTGGAGAAAATGGCAAAAGCACCATTTGTGACACATTGCTGCACTTCATTTGTTATAAGGTGAATTTCGTGATCAGAAGCAATGTGATTTCAAATACCACAACAATGGATAATGCATTTTGTTAATCCATGGGTGGTTATATTGGCTGAGACATTGCATTTGAAAGTAAACTAATAACAAGAATGGGTATTCCACTAAGAACAAAGAACTGCCCTTTCCATGGTGGAAATGATCTAATGTAATCAATATGCCACAAGGCACACCAATCCAATGAATAGTGTCATGTTAAGAACTCAGTGTTGATCTCTGCTGATAGCAGAATGAACACAAGCAGTGGCTGTAGCAAAGTCAGCCTTAGTGAGTAGGAGTCCATGTTGTTGACCCCATGTGTAACCTCTATCCCTGCCACCAAAGTCACTTCCTTCATGGGACCACTGGGCGATGAGAGGAGAGTGGCTAGAGAAAGAGGCTGACTGGGGAAATGGCAGTTCATTTTATTGACTTGATTAATAAGATAATTTTCTGCTGAGGTTGCCTTTAGTGATCATTAACATGGGTCAGAGCTATCTTCAAACTCTTTGCCTATTCAGGGAGGCCTACCCATATACATTTTTCCTAGATCTCATTGTCACCAACGTCCAATTGTATTCCCTCAAATCCCTGACCATTCCACCAAACCATTCATATTATAAATCATATTACATTCTTACTTCTCTTGATTTCTCCTCATAGATGAAAGTGAAAAACAGGTGTATTGCTTGAAATTCTGCCACTGGGAGAAGTTTTTTTCACCACTATCCTTCAGGAATGTACCAGAAAAGATCTGTTATGCTACAACTGTCCACACAAGCTTCCATGGTGCCTGTATGTCATGCAGAACCATCCATGAATTGGGCTTTAGTTTTCATTTTCTCAGTCAACTGGTCATAAAGAACTCCCCATGAGGCCCTAAGTATGGTCTAAGAGAGAAAAGAGAAGGTAGTAGGAGTAGTGGCCATGATCATTTATGCCACTTTACATTACTTACTTACGTATTCATGACAAATTTGAGCCCAATCATGTATAATCTACAAAAGTAGTGCCTTGTATGCTTGCATTTATTAGTAGATTAGACAATACGTGCATCATCATGGGCAACTCAGGCTGCACGGTAACTTGGTGGTTCATGATAAAACATTCAGTCTCTGCTGAGTTTCAGTAACTAGGAGAAGGGGAGTAATTTTTGGCAGAAAATGACAAGTCATCTTCTAAAATCCTAAGGATAAGCCCTGTGATTCCCATAAAAGGGCCTACCAAAGTCTCTAAACAGAATCCCCATCTGTCACTGATACTTCAAAAGCATTGGATCTGTTGGATCATATGACCCAAGTTGTGGGGAAAAGCAAGAGAGATCAGATTGTTACTGTGTCTGTGTAGAAAGAAGTAGACATAGGGGACTCCATTTTCTTCTGTACTAAGAAAAATTCTTCTGCCTTGAGATTCTGTTAATCTATGACCTTACCCCCAACCCCGTGCTCTCTGAAACATGTGCTGTGTCAAACTCAGGGTTAAATGGATTAAGGGTTGTGCAAGATGTGCTTTGTTAAACAGATGCTTGAAGGCAGCATGCTCCTTAAGAGTCATCACCTCTCCCTAATCTCAAGTACCCAGGGACACAAACACTGCGGAAGGCCGCAGGGACCTCTGCCTAGGAAAGCCAGGTATTGTCCAAGGTTTCTCCCCATGTGATAGTCTGAAATATGGCCTCGTGGGAAGGGAAAGACCTGACCGTCCCCCAGCCCGACACCCGTAAAGGGTCTGTGCTGAGGAGGATTAGTATAAGAGGAAGGCATGCCTCTTGCAGTTGAGACAAGAGGAAGGCATCTGTCTCCTGCCCGTCCCTGGGCAATGGAATGTCTCGGTATAAAACCCGATTGTACGTTCCATTTACTGAGATAGGGAAAAACTGCCTTAGGGCTGGAGGTGGGACCTGCGGGCAGCAATACTGCTTTGTAAAGCGTTGAGATGTTTATGTGTATGCATATCTAAAAGCACAGCACTTGATTCTTTACCTAGTCTATGATGCAAAGACCTTTGTTCACGTGTTTGTCTGCTGACCCTCTCCCCACTATTGTCTTGTGACCCTGACACATCCCCCTCTCAGAGAAACACCCAAGAATGATCAATAAATACTAAGGGAACTCAGAAGCTGGCGGGATCCTCCATATGCTGAACGCTGGTTCCCTGGGTCCCCTTATTTCTTTCTCTATACTTTGTCTCTGTGTCTTTTTCTTTTCCAAGTCTCTCATTCCACCTAACGAGAAACACCCACAGGTGTGGAGGGGCAACCCACCCCTTCACCAAGTGGCAGCACAACTTTAAGGGAACCCTGGACTTTTGCAGACCTTTCTCTTATTCTGAGCCCCACTCAAGAGTAACATCCTGTCATGTCACTCATTGAGTGAGCTAGAGTAGCATAGCCAAATGCTGAATATGTTGCCTGCAGAATACCAATAGGTCTGCTAGGCATCATTCTTCTTTTCTGTGGTAGGAGGGGCCAGATAACTTATCCTTCGTGTTAGGAGAGATATCTGGACATTTTCCACACCAACCAAACCACAGGAACACTAGAAATGTCACCAAAGTTGAAAGACACTGAATTTTTAGTAAGAGTTATCTCCTAACCTTGGAGACACAAATATTTTGCAAATATATATACAGTCACTGCTGCTTTCTGCTCACCATGTGTAAACTGCATAATATCATCAGTGCAACAGACCAGTATGACATATTGTGGAAGAAAAGGGTGATCAAGTTCGTTTTGGACAAAATTATTACATAAGGCTGGAAAATTGATATAACTTTGAGAAAAAAACAAAAAAGGTAAATTGTTAGCCTTGTTAGTTGAAAACAAATTGCTTTCCATATTCTTTATTAAAAAATATGAAGAAAAGGCACTTGCCAGATCAATACTCATATACTAGGTACTACAGAATATGTTAATTTTTTCAAGCAACCAAAACACATGAAAAAGCTGCAATTTGAGATTAATTTTAGAATAATTCTCTGTCCTTTACAGTTTTCTAAACAGACCATCTAGTTGAGTTGAATGGGAATGTGTGGGAATCACCACTGCTGCACCTTTGAAGTTGTTGATTGTAGCATTAATTTCTGTAATACTTTCAGGTACGTGTTACTGCTTTGGTTTATCATTTTTGTAGGTTAAGGCAGTTATAGTGACTTTCATTTGCTGTTTCCCACTTTAATGTTTCTCAGTTCACAGGCCTTGGAGCCATTGTGAGGATCCCGCAAATTGACGAGAATGTCTATTCCAATTTGCATTCTGAATCTGGGGAAAAAACCACAGCCTAAGTTTAGGGACTTCCTGAACTAACTCTGAGATGGACCTGAGCTAAAAATGCATTGGTCACTTTACATTCTTAGGATCTTCCATTTTCTTACTGTGTCTGATCCTCATTGACATTTTGGATTGCCAAGAAGTAGAGCCATTTCCAAGCCAGTGCCTAGTAATCAAGGAAAAGTTTGATTATGTACATTTCTTCAGTGCACAGTCACCCTGATAAATGACCATACGTCCTTTTAGTTAAGACCAGGAAAAAGATAAATACAATTTTGGCAGTGTAACAGGATCCTTCATCAAGGAAACCCAGCCTTCCTTTCATTTAAAAAGTTCTGGGTTTGTAAACTGGCTCAAGTCTGGGAATTGATTGAGAGGATGTGACTGTTTTCATGATTCAATTTAGACATTTGTTCTCTTGACCTAAAAGTCTTCCACTTGTTCCGATGAAATAATAATTTACTGTACTGTCTGCTCACTTGACTCTTAGGAACACCATGCTTAACTAGCCAATGCCACAGGTCTCTGGGAGTCAGGCTATTCTGATTGCTGCTTTGGTTCCAGTATCTATTATGGTAATCACACCCATCTTTTCTTTGGCAATTAAGTGACAACACCTGGGCCTTACTTCCATGGATTTCTATTATGCCCATTATATTTAGGGATCTAGATTGATGGCAAAATTTTTCTCATAATTTCTGACCTACTGAGAACCAAATCCACAGACTTCTTCAAGGATGCTGGGTCTTCCCTCACAAATATTTCCCTTGTAGTTATGGTGAAAGTGTATTGTGCCCTATGGAACCCCCCCAGGGTGAGCGAGAAGGTTTTATATGATAAATGTTCTCTACCATTTTAAGATTCCTAAGCCTTTGGACAGATTTCAGTATAGTACATTGAAGCAGTTTTGACATTTCATCTTCATTTAATACATGCCACTGTTGGATCCATGTTTCTGTCAACTAACTAAAACTTTAGAATTTCTGCTTAGTAGGCCTGCATCAATAATTTTGGCCTGATTCAAGTTTATATTTCCATCACTATAATCCTACATTCTTAATATCCAGTCCTATATGTACTCCTCAAATTTCTATGTGTATAAATTGCAAACAACATGCAGTTTTGTTTTCTTTTGATGTGCAATGACCTTTTAATAGGTTATCCTTTGTACCTTACTCTTTGGGGCCTGTTGAAGTTGAGTCTATTTATAGGTCTAGAAACAAAGAGTGGAGGAAGGCAGAGATAAGCCCCAAAGAGAATCAGCAAGACCTTGCAAGAAAAAATACCCCAAGGGAAGCCATTTTAAATGTTTTAGGAAAAGGAAGGCCAACATCTTCAGATAGAAGTGGATGGGCTGCTTCTTCTAGCAAAGAGGACGATCAGAATTTAATGCCTCCAACTTCACTGGTATGTAGCCATTTCAAGTTTCAGGATCCCATTTCCTGTCAGTCAACGCCCTGACTTTGATAGAACATACCCTAGAAAGTTGGGAATTCAATTGTGTTGTAATTTGGTCACCGACATGTGTCCTCTCTTATATTTATGTTGGAAAAATGTGAGAAGATGGGCAGGTATATGACAAGAAGAGCTATAATTTTCTACTTCCTGACTGCCCAACACACATAGACACACACCCTAAAATACATACAATTCCAAATTTTTCTCCAAAACTTTTTTCTGCCAATACTAAGCAATCATTGCACATGCAACTCAAAACACACTCACAAAAAGGAGAAAATCTGAAGTCAAATCCTGCTATTTTATTCACATTCAGTTCCAGGGTGCTATGTCATCTGTATTCTTTTCTGTCAGGCCTGGGTTTGTCTCTATAATCACACTGCTTGCTCAGTGAATTCCTTCAGCCTGCTGCACAGACAAAACCAGTTCACTGAGACCATAATATTGCAGTAAAGAAAGAGTTTAATTAACATGGGGCCAACCACATGAGAGACAGAGTTATTACTCAAATCAGTCTCCCTGAAGGATCAGAGGTTAGGATTTTTCAAGGATAATTTGGTGGGCAGGGGACTAGGAAATGGGTGCTACTGATTGGTTGAGGATGCGATCATAGGGGTGTGGAAAACAGTCCTCATGCACTGAATCAGCCTCTAGGTAGGGGTTGCAAGACCAGTTATGAGTCACAAGCGCAGGTCGGAAATACATCTTAAAAGACCAATCTTAGGTTCTATACTAGCATTGCTACCTATACAAGCAATTGGCGAAGTTATAAATGTAACCTCTGGCCACATTACTCCTGAGCAGTAAGGGATTGTAGAAACTATGTCTACATTTTAGCAGAATTCAGACCTTTCCCATAATCCTCATCTTGAGGCCTGTCATTAGTTTTATGAAGGCAACTTCAGCCTCCAAGCAAGGAGGGGATCAGTTTTAGGGAGGAACAATTACCATTCTTGCTTCAAAGTTAAAATATAAATTCCTCCCATCGTTAGCTTGACTTACACCCAAGAATGAATGAAGACAGCCAGACTGTGAGGCCAGGAGCAAGATGGAGTCAGTCATGTTAGATTTCTCTCACTGTCATTATCTTTGCAAAGGCGGTCTTAACAAAACATAAGTGATTATCTGGGTATAAAATAACTTTATAACACAAATGTTTTCTGCTAGGTGAACCACTAACCCACATACCTTATTAGAGATTGCATGCATAATTGTTGGCTGTAGAGTGTGTCTGATGTGATAAAGAAAAACCTGGGAAATAGTATACAATGTCCTAGGCCTCTCTTTTCTTCACTTGCGCCTCTTCATTACTTGAATACTTGAAATTATTCAGATTGAACCTGGTTGGGCATGGTGGCTTATGCCTGTAATCCTAGCTACCCAGGAGGCTGAGGCTGAGGACCACTTGAGGCCAAGAGTTCAAGACCAGCCTGGGCAACATAGTGAGGACTCTGTCTCAAAAATCAAGCAAGCAAACAAACAAATAAAACAACTATTCCACGTTTGGTTTTTGATTTGTACAAGCTAACTTTGCAAATCTGATCCCTTACATTAGCTCTGGGAAAATTGCCCTATTAGGGTTGTCAGTCTTTGGCTTCTCAATTCCCAATCGAGTGGGTCAAGGAGACTGGGGATTTCCTCAATTGCTGAAAAATTTTAAGATTTTTTCTGGCAGTCTAAGAACTTTAAATTATCAATTGGCTGAATGTCAACTTCACTGGCTAACAAGCACTTGCAGAAAACCTCTAAAGTCAACAACTTCTAATCAAAACTAACCCAGTATTTGTAGATTCTGTTCTTGTTATTAACTGGCCTTTTCTCCTTGGCTCTGCATATTACAAACCAGAATGTCCTCCTTCAACAGTGTTGGAGATCTGCTTTGCTTTGTACTTTTCTTTACATGTAAGCCCCATTTTATTTCAACTTGTTTCTAACTTGCAGACTTTTTACTTAAAGCAGAAAGAAATAAAATAACCCCCTTCAATTTCAAAGTCTTTAAAAAAGTCTCTGTGTGGCCAGGCATGGTGGCCCACACCAGTAATCCCAGCACTTTGGGAGGCCGAGGCAGGCAGATCACCTGAGGTCAGGAGTTCAAGACCACCCTGGCTGACATGGTGAAACCCCATCTCTACTAAAAATACAAAAAGTTAGCTGGGCGTGGTGGCAGGTGCGTGTAATCCCAGTTACTCAGGAGGCTGAGGCAGGAGAATCGCTTGAACCCAGGAGGTGGAAGTTGCAGTGAGCCGAGATCTCAACACTGGACTCCAGCCTGGGCAACAAGAACAAAACTCCGTCTCAAAAAAAAAAAAAAAAAAAAAATCTCAGTGTATGCAATGTCCAAATACTGAGATACTACAGGAGTATTTTAATACCTGGTTAAAGCCTCAGAACCTGGACTGTTAGAATCTGTATTAGTTTTCTGGGGCTGCCTTAACAAAGTACCACAAACTAGGTGGCATAAACCACGAGAATATATTACCTCATGGTTCTGGAGGCTAGATGTCTAAAATCAAAGTGTCGTCAATGTTCATTCTTCTAATGTCTGTGGAGGAAGGCTCTGCTCCAGGCCTCTCTCCTTGGCTTGGGGATGGCCGTCTTCCTCTATTTCTTCAGATAGCCTTCACTCTATGTACATCTGTGTCCAAATCTTCCCTTCTTATAAGGATGCCAGTAATATTGGATGAGGGTCCATCCTTAGGACCTCATGTTAAGTAAATATTATATCTGCCATGACCTCATTTTCAAATAAGCTTACATTGTGAGGTATTAGGGGTTAGGACTTCTGATTTCTACAGAAAATCTGATCCCTTACATTAGACCTAGGAGAATTGCCCTATTCGGCAATTTGGCTTTGACATCTCAATTCCTGATTGAGTAAGTGAAGGATGTAAATTCTTGGGCAAAATACAATTTAACACATAACACTACGTGAGCTTCTGAGGGAGAGACAGCCCTTGTTTCCCAGCCCCTGTGACTCAGCCATATTTTTCATTTTATGGCTTGTCATTGGTAACAGCCCCTCTTCATGCTTATCTTGGTGAAGTTCCTGAATAACAAGACCCTCATACACCAACTGAAGGAATGTTGGGACTTGTATACATTTCTGCTATTGAATTGTAGAAAGAGTTGAGCCGGCTTTAGAGGTTCATAAAATTTGAATATTGTTGAGACTTTCTCTTTCTTTTGTATGTGTTTCTCTCTGCCTTTTGGCTTGAATCTCTTAGACCAGCTGCTCAGATGAGATTGAATTCACAAACACAAATGGTTCTAGGCTCATGTCCATGGAACTTTGGAAATGAAATGAAATGAAATGAAAGCAACCATTGAACTGCCAGTTCCTGAAAGAACAGATCCAAGGAAGGCTTTTTGTAGCCTACACTTTACAGTTATGTTCTTCTCTGAACCAATCACCAGAGCTAAACCTGGGTGGATTTCATCATGGGCTATGAGCTCACACCTCATGCCATGAGATTTGGATCTGTCACCAGTGGTGAAGTGATTTGAAAGAAAAGCATACACAATAATCTTACTTTTATGCTGCCAGCATTTTCCATTTCAATTACCTTAGAAATGTTGGTTAATCTCTTAATTCAGAATTCTTGTTCAATGAGAACGTGCATAGCAAATGATATATACATATATATATATATAATTTACATTAGTTAATTTAGCAGTTATTTTGTCATTTACTATGCTCTTTGTCTATTTTGTCTGTGCTATGCTTTGTGTTGTGTCTTTTATGTTTCAGGATGTTTTCCCAGATATCTGCTGAGGGGTGTATGTGTTTGTGTGTGTGTACACATGTGTACGTGAATGTTTCCAGTGTATGTTTAATTCTTAAGAAAAACACAGAACAGTCTGGTTTAGTTACCACTTGTTCTCCCTAATTGCTCAACTAGTTAAGGATAGAAACAAATCTGTTCTTAGATATGTGTTGCAAACAAACTTGAGACAACTTAGTTGTTTAACATACTGTAGGATCTTTTATTCAATATTAATGTCTTCAAAAATTGGAGGCACTTGGGGGAGTGGTATATATCTATTCTCAACAAGTACTTCCCGTGAAAAGCAACTGCAATATAATCTTGGTACCACACCAGCTGAATCAAGACAGAGGACTCATAAACCAACAGAACTCTGCATTTGAAGTACAAATTCAAAAGTATTAGTTACTGATCTTGCCTGATATTTTTCCTTCTTTCATGCGTGGGCTTTCTCCAAACCACATATTTGAATACCATTTGTTTCTGTAAATTTCCCTAACACCTCTCATACTAATTAATAAACATCATGATGGAAATTTCAATCATAGCATTTGAAGTGCCTAAGCGGTAAGGTTTGGAGCATGCCCTGATGATTGAGTTGCTTCAGAGAGTAAATCATGCTCTTCTACGTTGTGTATTGGAGTCCACTTATGCACACTTAAATAAAATTGTTTCTACTGAAAGATGTTTAAAATAAATTATTCCACGAACAATGTAAAAATACGTTAGATGTCTGGATTATGCAAACATATATTTCCAGTTAAAGGTCAAAGCATCTTGGATAAGATGCTGAGGGCTTTAGAAAATTTAGTTTTTATAAATTATTTCCTCAGAGTTAAAAACAAAACAAAACAAACAAAGCAACTCAGTGCTAGACACTAGCTTTTTGCATTTCCTTTTTATCAGCCTGCCATCATCTTCAAGTGTCAACGTGGTGAGGATTGACATGTTTTGTTTCAATTGCCAGTGGGTCAAGAAAGTGAAGTCAGCTATTGTGTCAAGAAAATCTACACACAGAATCTGCACTCCTACAAAGTTATTTTTGAAATGGCTGCGTTATTACGATTTTAGAAACAAGATTACATGTGTTTAAAAAGACTAACCCACCATCAGTTTATTCAGTGATCCCTGAACCTCCCATGGCTTGGTCTCCTCGTAGAAACCAGGGGAATGGGCTAGTTCCTTTATCTTCTCCTCCTCTGACCCCACATGGCACTGATCCACTTGCATGGGACTGAGAACTGGGCCACTGATCCTCAGCACTTTATTGGACTGCCTAATGGACAGACTGTACCTCACCATTTCAGCTTAAGGCTCTGGGCATTACTCTCCCTAGTTTCAATTATTTAGCCAGATTGATTGGTTGGTTGGTTGGTTTGTTTATTTATTTATTTATGTCTGTTCACCTCAATATTGTTGGTCATTTCAGTTGCTATCTGTTAGGTTGGTGCAAATGATATCATGGTTTTTCTCATTAAAAGCTTTTGCCATTAAAAGTTTTTAATGGCAAAAACTGCGATAACTTTTGCACCGACCTGATAAGATAGAAATATGGGAATTATACATTTGACCTCATAACGTGATGTTTCTCAGAAGTCTTCTTAATAATCCTTCTTAATTATTAATAATTCTATTAGTAATCCTTAATAATCCTGTTATTCCTGAGGTTTTGTTTTCACTAAGCATATAATATTTTCTCAGACTAAATTTCCCACGTTTATTGATATCCACCTAAAGAGAATTAGCCTAAAAATTCTTAGATATGCATATACGTAACACATATAAAACTTTAGAATAGTTTTTAAATAAAACAGTTCTAAACAAACTAAGTTTAACTTCTTAAAGTTAGTTCTTAGAGTAGTTCTAAATAAAACTTTAGAATAGTTTTATTTAGAAAATTATTACTGATATAAAAATATTATTGATATTAGCAATAATTTCTTTTCTATTAGACAAGGAAAATAGTTCTTTTTCTATAGAAAGTGTTCTAGCTGCATAATTTGAGCAATTAGTACCATGGAGATTAAATGTCATTTCACTTCTTAAGAATATGAATAGATTGATATTTCAAATAATTAATTATTGTCAAATGTATTTGAACACTTTTTATTCTTACATTTGTTCAGCATTATTTGCTCATTTAGAAACATTTACCTATATTCTTTAACATAGTAATCAAACTAAATTTGTAGTCATTCTGAATGTTAACACTAAAGAATCAGAAACCAAAGGTGAATTTTCTATATAAATGCATGGAGCATAATATGAAAGGTAGGATATGTGTTTAAAAACATCACATTTCATGTGTTTTGTGTTTTAAAAGATGAGACTTAAAGTTCTGAATGATGAACCTCTCTTTATTGCTATCAACATGATAGTTTATTTTAAATGAATGATAGTCTGGGTTATTTCTGCTGTTAGCGCACCGATGCTTTTCCTAATAATCAGATAGAAATAACTTCTAAATTATTAGTACATATTATAAATTAGAGAACATGTTTATACACAATGCACAGTTATCTTTTTAAATTTCACAAATACTTTGGTAAAATAACCATTGTGTATACACTTCAATTCACAATGTAAATTGAAAATTGGTAATAGATAAATAATTCAGCTACCTGTAATTATTTAGTGAATTAAATCAGAGACTATGTTTAAAATTTTACTCTTTGATACTCCAAATTGTTCATGATAAATTTTTTTTGATGGTTCAGTGTATATCTCAGCATTTTTAGGTTTTTGGTGTTTTCTCATAATGTAGGAAATTTTATTTTACTTTCATTCTGCCTTCTGCACATAGTCCCTCAAATCTTAGAAGAGACAGTGGGTAGCAATGGGGCTCTGTGACTATTCCTTTGGTTCAGAAATCAGTTTGCTTAAAGCAACATTGTAACTCAGTTAGATGTGGCAAAATGTGCAAAGGGGCTGGGCACGGTGGTGCATACCTGTAATTCCAGCATTTTGGAAGGCTGAGGCAGGCGGATCATTTGAGTTAGGAGTTTGGGACCAGCCTGGCCAACATGGTGAAGCCCCGACTCTACTAAAAATACAAAAATTAGCTGGCCGTGGTGGCCTGTGCCTTTAATTCCAGCTTCTCGGGAGGCTGATGCAGTAGAATCGTTGAACCTGGGTGGCAGAGGTGCAGTGAGCTGAGATCGTGCCACTCCAGCCTGGGCAACGGAGTGAGACTCAGTCTCAAAAAAAAAAAAAAAGTGCAAAGGAACAACATTGGGTAAACTACCATAAATTTTAGCAAACAGACGATTTCTCGTCTTCCTGATTATTATCAGATTTCTGTAAATGTATTGTTATTATATCTCAACAATTAAATATGTTAAAAATGTGGAGTCAAACTTACATTGCCATGAATATTTTTTTAAAAACCTATATTATTGATGATATTATGTCTTAGGCCAAAATTAAGCCCAATAGCCAAGACGTTTAACACCTCTTCTTTTGCCCTCTCTTAGAACTCCATTACAAAATCAACATATTAGCATATTGCATAAAGAAAGCAATTTATAACAATTAAAAAGAAACTATTACAGAAAACCAGCAAGAATTTCAAAGGTAGTAACACAGTAAAACGGGCTAAACCTCAGATTATCAAAGCATAGCCTTACAAAAAGTCTAACTGTGCACTACTTCCAACAGGGACATCTCAAAGAAAAAATGACTCAACGAAGGAAAGACAAAAGAAGCAAACTTCACTCAGAAAAATTCAAACAAGTGTAAATCAGGACATTACACTTAATATCACTATAATTCAGCGTAAAAACATTCAGTAAAATAAAGACAGCCAACTCTTGACAATTGTTAGTTAATAGCATTAAAATTACTATTGAAATGTAGCAAAATATTTTTGGGGAACTGCTCCATCTTTCTGTCTTCTACCTGCAATTTGATATTGGTATATACGTGTGTGCTAATGTGCATATGCAATTATTTCCTACACTTCTTTATTCTCTACAATGTCTTACTTGTTAAGCAAATTCAGGTTGGGTAGTTAATAGACGATAATTTTACATATTTCTTCTTTTAATATGTTTGCAATTCAATTGAACCTTTTAGTAACACAAACAGGGAAGAATAAAAAGAAATGGATATTTCAAACAGTATGAAATACTGGTAAAGTCAGAGAATGTAGCTGAAATAGAACTGTTTGCACACATTAAATGACATGGATTAATTACTTTCTTCTGGTTTTCCCAAGTATTGGGCTATGGTATAGTCTGATCTGTGGAATGTAATAAGTAGAGAAAGGAATTATGGATGCAAAAGGGATAAAAATAATGCACTGGAGCTAGCACAGTGGTGGGCATTTCTACAGTGCAGCCCCTGGAAAGGTGAGAATGTATTCCTGTGTATTTTTAGAACTATGCTGACAAAGTTTATAATGGAGGGTGATAGAACTAGATCAGATCGACCTGCTATGATCCAAAGTGCTCTAGCTGAACACTCCTAGGGGACCATTTAATGTTTATAATCCTTCTTATTGTAGTGTGAATTTGAGAGATAATTGCTGGCAGGTGAGAATTTCTTTATTGTTTTTTGCTAAGTAGATTAAATCAAGGTTACCTGAAGTTTTCTTCTTTTTTTTTTTCTTTTTTTTTTAAACAAAAAGTCTTCAGAGTCTCTGGAATGGCAGTAGAACCCTGGAGGCAAAAATAAGTGACAGTGCCAATATGAACTTATGTTCATATTTAGCACTCATTTCAAAGGTCCGTGGAAATATGACTAGGTATATTATATCCTTTTAAAGGCAGTATAAAAGCTGAAGTCAGATATTATGATCAATGTCATATCTAATGCTCAGAAATTTAAGTGGATATTGATTATACTTTTTGGAGATAACAATATCATCATTTTAAAATCAGTTAAACACATTTGGAACAAATCTGCTTGCTAAAAGCCAAATTACAAATATAATTTATTTTCAAATTGATTTGAAGCCACTGTGTTTTTATTTCTGCTTCTCTCATTTTTAAAAACTGTAAGTCACATTGTCAATCACATTCATGTAGCAAATCATTTTTCTCGGAATAACAGGCATATCATATTGAAAGCCTGAAAAAAATGTTGAGTTAGAATTCTTAAAATCTTTTAATGCGATGCACAATTTAAAAAAGTTATGTTTAAGAATGATTTATTTTCCACTTGTAATAGCTGTAACATTGAGATTTGGTGAAGGAGAAAATGGAGCTGCATAAATGAGTTTTCTTTTTATTAGTTTTACCTTTAGATTACTGAAACACTCAAATAATAAGGACTTTCTAGCCAACTTTTACCTATAAAATCAACACGGATGGTTTAAATGTCAAGATATAGTTAAACACAATTTTACAAATGCTACCATATATGTAAGCACTTATGGTTAACCAAATAAAGAAAAATAATAGAAATTCAAATGTTCAATTTTAATGGTACTTTACAGCTTTCCAAATTGTGTCACAGTCATTATCTCATTTAATTTCCCCTCAAGGAACTAGTGTTAATATCAGAAATGGGTCTTTCCTTGTTGTGGTGACTCGATCCACTCACCTCATCATCAGTGGAGCTGCTACAGGAATAAGAATACAGATAAAAAATGTAACCAATAACATAACATCATTTGTTATTAAACAATTAATATTATTGAATTTTCTTGTGAGATTTCAAAATATTTTCTCAAGCATACCGTATTCTTTTACTCCCAGTTGCAGTTCTACAATTCTTCCAGCTCCTTGACAGATCAGCCACTTTATCTTTAAATCTCATCTTAATATTTTTTTCCTGTGAAACCCATTCTTTATCATCCATGTAACAACCTTATAATTGTTATTTTACATATCTGCAGGCTATTTGCAAGTTGAGGACATTTCTTATTCAACTTCATATTTTAAATGTAGAATTTAGTCACTGGCAAATATGAGGCATTTAATAAATAAGTGAAACAGGTAAAACAAAATATACAGTATAATCAAAATTTGTTTCAGAATATATTTTTCTGAGTAGAGTTTTTAACACCAAAAATGCTGTTCATATGTACATACCTTATTTATGACTTTCTACAGAGTATTCTAAATATGTGTGCTGAAATTATACTATAAATGACATGTCAAAAACATGTTAATTTACCACCATAGAATGTTTTTTAAAAAGCATTTTTATAAGTACAGATTAGATGTTTATATTCTACAAGAAGATAAAAATAAACCTACTTTGACATTTACAAGTATACTTTTCTGAGAATAATTTAGAATCTGCATTTAGATAAACATAGGTTGCAGCACTTTTTCCCCCAGATAGTATCTGTTACTTTAAAAAACTGACATTCAGTTTTTGTCTTTTTAAAGATGATTGATGTATACAACCTCAATGATATTGAGAAGACTTTACATCCTTTATCTATTGTTGCATAGCAAAGCAGAAAAAAAACTTAATGTCTTAAAAGAAATGTATTCTTTCTCACAATTCTGTGAAATGCTTGATCAGTACTCCTGAAATTGCCTGGAATCACTAGGTCTCACTTGTGCTTCTATAGTCAGTTGGCAGATCTACTGGAGGCTGGACTCATCTGGGACAGTCGGGATGACAGGGACTCTTTCTATACCATAGTCTATAGACTTGGGATTCTTCGAGCTTAGAGGGCTTACAGAAAAATTGTATGAGGGCAAATCTAAATGTACTATATTGGCCAATGTTCTAGAGTCAATGTGGAAGTGGAATTCATGGAATAATGGATAAAGGGAGGCAATTTCATTGGGAATAATTAGTAAAATTGGAAAAAAACCTGCCAGCCACGCGATACCGGGATTTAAATATTTCACATGAGTATATGATTAATGAGACAAATTGCAATAATTTTACATTGATATGGTATTTATAATTAAAATCTAATATCACACTCAGCAGAATGGAAAATAGTTGTATATTTTGAAAAATTTAGAGTAAGCCAATTACCCTTCTTATATTAGCTAACATAACTTTTTGATCTTCAAGTATTCACTTTCTGAAAATAATGGCAAGATGAATTGTTTTAATAATTCTTAAAAACTTATTTATTTATTTTCCAGCTTTATTGGGGTACAGGTGGTATATAAACATTGCATATATATGATGTATACCATAAAAATTTGAAATATAGTTTGATACATTATGAAATTATTAGTGCAATCACATTAGTTAACACATCCATTACCTTACATGGTTATGAGTTTTTGTGTGGTCTTTTTCTCAAGATTATGTTGGTTACATACAGCCTTTTGTGATTTCATACTAATTTTTTATTTGTTTTTTATGATTTCCTGAAAATGTCATTACAATTTTGATAAAGATTACATTAAATCTGTAGATTGCTTTGGATAGTAATTTAACAATACCAATTCTTCCAATTCATGAACCTGCAATATCTTTTCATTTATTTGTTTTGTTTTTGGTTCCTTTCATCAATATCTCAGATTTCATTGTGAAGATCCCTCAACTCTGTGGTTAAGTTTATTCCCAAGTATTTATTTTATTCTTTTTAACACATTATAAATGGCATTTCTATCAGTCCATTCTTGCACTGCTATAAAGAGATACCTGAGTCTTGTTAATTTATAAAGAAAAGAGGTTTACTTGGCTCACTGTTTCACAGTCTCTAGGGGAAGCATAGCTGGGGAGGCCTCAGGAAACGTAAAATTATGGCAGAGGTGAAGGGCAAGCAGGAATGTCTTACATGACCAGAGCAGGATAATAAGAGAGGAGAGATGCCACACACTTTTAAACAATGAGATCCAGCAATAACTTACTCACTATCACAAGAACAGCACCAAAGGGGAAACTCACCCCTGTGATCCATTCACTTCCTACTAGGCCCCACATTCAACATTAGGGATTACAATTTGACATTAGATTTGGTCAGGGACACAGACCAAAACCAAATCATTTTGCTCTCTTCCCCTCCCAAATCTCACATCCCTCTCACACTTCAAAATACAATTATGCCTCTTCAATTGTCCTCCTAAAACTTATCTCATTGTAGCATTAACTCAAAAGTTCAAAGTCCAAAGTATCATGAGACAAGGCTAGACCCTTCTGCCTATGAGCCTATAAAATAAAAAACAAGTTAGTTTACTTTCAAGATACAGTGGGGGTATAGGCATTGGGTAAATACTGCCATTTCAAAAGGGAGAAATCAGCCAAAAGAAAGAGGATACATGCCTTGTGCAAGTCTGAAACCCAACAGGGAAGACATTAGAACTTAAAGCTCCAAAATAATCTCCTTTGACTCCAAGTGTCACATTCAGGCCACACTGATGCAGGGGGTGGGCTCCCCAAGCTTTGGACAGCTCTGCCCCTTTGGCTCTGCAGGACTCAGCCCCCGTGGCTGTTCTCAATGGCTAGTGATAAGTGTCTGTGGCTTTTCTAGGAATATGGTGCAAGCTGTTGGTGGATCTACCATTCTGGGGTCTGGAGAATGGTGACCCTCTCCTCACAGCTCCATTCTGTGTGTGGGCTCCAACCCCACTTTTTCCCTCTGCACTCCCCTGGTAGAGTTTCTCCATGAGGCCTCTGCTTCTGCAGCCAACTTCTGCTTGGACATCCAAGCTTTTCCATACATCTTCTGAAATCTAGGTGGAGACTTCCAAGCCTCAACTTCTGTACTCTGCACACCCACAGGTTTAACACCACATGAAAGCCATGAAGTTTTATGGCTTGCACCCTCTGAAGCAGCAGCCTGAGTACCTGGACTCCTTTGAGCCATGGCTGGAGCAGTAGCAATAAGGATTCAGGGAGCAGTGTCCTGAGGCTGTGCAAGGCAGTGGGGCCATGGGACTGACCCACAAAACCATTTTTTACTCCTAGGCCTCCTGGCCTATAGTGGGAGTGGCTGCCATGAAACTTCATGAAACCAAGACAACCACATTGTCTTGGTTATTAGTACTTCTCTTTCTTTTAGATATGCAAATTTCTGCAGCTTGCTTGAATTTCTCCCCTAAAAATGGGTTTTTCTTTTCTACCATGTGGACAAGCCATAGATTTTTCAAACTTTTATGCTCTGCTTCCTTTTTAAATATAAGTTCCAGTTACAGGTCATTTCTTTGTCCACACATCTAAGCATAGGTTTTTAGAAGCAGCCAGGCTTCATCTTGAATGCTTTGCTGCTTAGAAATTTCTTCTGCTAAATATCATAAGTCATCTCTCTCAAGTTCAAAGTTCCACAGATCACTAGAGCAGGGACACAATGCCATCAGGTTCTTTGCTAATGCATAACAAAAGTGACTTTTGCTTCACTTCCCAATAAGTTCCTCATCTCTATCTAAGGCTGCATCAGCCTGGCCATCTATGCATCTCACTATCAGCATTTTGATCAAAACTATTCAATAAGTCTGTAGACAGTTCCAAACTTTCTCTCTTCTTCCTGCCTTCTTCTCAGTCTTCAAAACTATTCCAACCACTGCCTGTTACACATTTCCAAAGCTGTTTCCACATTTTCAGATGTCTTTATAGCAATGCCTTACTCCTAGGTCCCTATTTTCTGTATTAGTCCATTGTCGCACTGCTATAAAGAAACAGGGAGACTGGTTAATTTATAAAGAAATGAGGTTTACTTGGCTCACGGTTTTACAGACTGTACAGGAAGTGTGACTTGGGAGGCCTCAGGAAAATTACAATCATGGTAGAAGGTGAAGGGGAAGCAGGCATGTCCTTCATGGCCAGAGCAGCAGGAAATTAGAGAGGAGAGAGGTACCACATGCTTTTCAACAACCAGATCTTAAGATAACTCACTCACTGTATTAGTCCATTCTTTCATTGCTATAAAGAACTACCTGATACCAGGCAATTTAGAAAGAAAAGAGGTTTAATTGGCTCATTGTTTTGCAGGCTGTACAGGAAACATGGCTGAGAAAGCCTCAGAAAACTTTCAATCATGAGGGAATCAGGCAAGTCTTACATGGCTGAAGCAGGAGGAAGAGAAAGAAGTGAGAGTTGCTACACACTTTTCAACAACCAGATCTCGTGAGAACTCACTCCCTATCAGAAGAACAGCAAGGGAGAAATGTGTTCCTTGACCCAGTCACCTCCCACCAGGCCCCTTTTCAGACATTAGGGATTACAATTTGATATGAGATTTGGGCATAGACACAGGCCCAAACCATATCAGTGTTGTTTTAATAATTTATTTCAAAATGTCATTCCTCTTATTAGTTCCATATTATTTTCCTCACATCTTCAGGCAGCCACAGGGGTATTCTAGTTGGATATCCCTTCAAGAATGTAATAGCAGTTGATATGCAAGAAATTCAGATAGCTAATAGCTTCCAGCTGTGTCACCTGGCACATCTGTCTTCACTTACAAGCTGACTTCATTCTCTTCTTGATCAGCTGCCCTCCAAGAATGGACAATGGCAGGGGTATCAGGGCCAGGCCATATCTACCCAATATAAGACTCAGGTAATAGATTATCATTGCACTGTCTCTTCCTGTTATAGTGGCCAAGACATTGTCAGATATAAATTTCAGTTTGTTGTTCTTGTTCAATTCTTCTTTCTCCTTGCTTTCTTTTCTCATGGCTCCAGTGTTCCCTGGGGTCTGGAAGCTATCCTTGACTGCTTTTACTTCCTTCTATTCTATTTCCCACAGGAGTTAATCTCAATGAACTTCCTACAGAATCAGATTCCCAGAAGATGTAACTGAGAGATATTGGGAGTGGTTTGAGAAAGCAGGTGTGGTAAGATAGGATTTGGGGACTGTATATCTCATTGCTTTGTCGGTAATAGAAATCCAATCCCAAGAGGCATGCTAAAAATAGATAGTGTCTGGAATAGAATGGCAGCTCTACTGCTAAATAGTGTGGTAGTGATGGCTTGGGAAAATGGTCATTTGGATGTGACTGTACTCACCAGCACAATGATGCAGGCATTTAAAAAGTACAGAAGAAATGCAGACAAGGGACATTTATGTTTATTGATTGTTATTGTTTTCTTGATATCCAACAGAGTGATAATGGAAGCTTAGGACAGTAGACAAGCAATTCAAAACAAAGTGTGAAGATAAGAGGCTTTTTTTTTGTACCTTAAGTGGAAATTTTATTACCTGCTATGAGAGGGTAGAATAGCATATTATACTTAGATTTACCCAATTTCAAAATTACTCGCAATTCAACTGAGGCAGATCTGTTATGCCAAAGTTGAACCCTGGTAGGAAAAACTTGGAACCCTGATATAGAGAATAGAAACATCTGAATCCTTGAAAATTTTAGCTCTCTAGACTACTCTGAACTTACAGACCCTACAGAGGTTTCTCACATCTCCCATTATAACCTAGCAATCCCTTTGTGCAGGAAGATACTGTGGAACTCTATCCTTACATTTTCCATGGACACCAATTTGATAATTAGGGTTAAGTCACAGCACATCCAAATTGATATCATCCCAGGATTAATAAGGAAGAAAGAACTTTACATTAATGGACCTGCAAAAATTAGCCACTGGATTTGTGAAAGAGAACATAATATAAAACTGGATCGGCAACATTTTATTCACAGTATATTGTCTCAAGATTTGGAATTTAACATCCTAGCAGGGACCTCAGGGTATGTCTTACAGAAGCCTACAGAAAGCAAACTTTCATGCTGAGCAAAGTTGAAATGCCTGAATTGATGTGACAGACAGTGAAAGAAGAGATGAAAACATTCAGGAAAGTGGACATGCTGGAATGGATATATTATGTGATGCCAAAAGAACACTAGAAGATTATGTCCTAAGGGAGGCTCAGAAGATGCAGCATTCATGAAGATTATTGGGAACATTCTTGTGAGAGAGACACTGACATCACCCAGAAGTCTTGGCCGGGGTTAGTACAGGAGAACCTGCCATAGAGCTTGGCATGTTGATAGCAATGGGGATAATGGCATATCAAAGCAATAGAAGCCCTGTGGCTTCTCATAATAACCCAAATCTGGGAGACTCTGAGTTCACATGAGATCTAGTCATTTAAAATTGTGTGGCACCTACCTTCCAACCCTGCTCCTGTTTTTACCATGTAAAGTGCCTGCTCCTACTTCACCCTCTGCCATGAGTAAAAGCTCTCTGAGGCTTCTCCAGAAGTCGAGCAGATGCCAGCACCATGCTTTCTGTATGGTCTGCAGAACGATGAGCCAATTAAACCTCTTTTATTTATAAATTACCCAGTCTCAGGTATTTCTTTAGAGCAATACAATAATGGCCTAATACAGGAGTTATGACTAATGTTTTGTTTAACATTGACTCATTGATCTGAAGATCCACGTTGTGATTATATCCTCCAGGCCCTGAATGTATAATTTCAATTAAAGTATTTGGCAGTTAGTTGATACTCCTACTGAGTCCTTGATCTGTATATTACCATAAGGAGTGGCAAGTTCCGAGTGATATTTAAGCTGAGATTGACACATAGAAAGCTGATAAGATGTTTAACACAAAAAAAGCATGTGTGAGAACAAAATATGTGAGGCCAAAAATGTTCTGCTGAAAATACATAATGAAAAGAAAGCAAACATGGATGAACAGGAAGCTAAGGGCAGCCACTCCAATGGAGTCATGATCTTTTCCTCAGTTTCCAAAACTAAGTCAATTTTCAGATCCAGAATGCACTGATTGAAGTGCCTAGGTTCCCAAGTGAAAGGACTCAGCAATTTCAAAATAATTAAACAGAAAATGGTTTCCCCCAGCCCTTCCCCAAAGGGACTTTCAGCTGTTTACTCAGATGATACCTTAGGTAATAGAGATGCTAGACATATCAAGATCAATTGAACACAAGCTATGAATGAGCATTGATACTTGAAGACCTGAAGCATTATCATGGCTTCCTTATTCAAGTAGAGGCATACAGGAAACAGGTATTTATTGGAGTTAATATAGTTTGGAAACTCATCCCTACTGAAATCTCACGTTGAAATGTAATCCCTGGAGATTGGAGGTGGAGGTGACTGGATCATCACGGTGGATCCCTCATGAATGGCTTGGGCCATCACCTTGGTAATAAGTGAGTTCTCACTCTGAGTTCACATGAGATCTAGTCATTTAAAAGTGTGTTGTACCTACCCTCCAAGCCTGCTCCTGTTTTTACCATGTGAAGTGCTTGCTCCTACTTCACCCGCTACCATGAGTAAAATTTTGCTCTCTGAGGCTTCTCCAGAAGTCGAGCAGATGCCAGCACCATGCTTTCTGCATGGTCTGCAGAACCATGAGCCAGTTAAACCTCTTTTATTTATAAATTACCCAGTCTCAGGTATTTCTTTATAGCAATACAATAATGGCCTAATACAGAGGTTATGGCTAATGTTTGGTTTAACATTGATCCATCGGTCTGAAGATCCACCTTGTGATTACATCCTCCAGGCCCTGAATGTATAATTTCAATTAAAGTATTTGGCAGTTAGATGATACTCCTACTGAGTCCTTGATCTGTATATTAAGGGCTTTGAGGAGAATGGAGGAGGCCAAGCTTCAAACACTTCCCCCAGCTTCACCTTGAAAGTAAATGAAAACCACTATTGCATCTCTAGAGGGACACAAGATGGCAGTATGTTGTGCTACCTTTAAAGATCTAAATGAGGCAAAACGGTGACTCCTGTCATATTTCTGTTTAACCCACTAGTGTGGTCTTAACTGTAAATGAAGGGATCCTGGAGAATGGCCATAGAATACCACAGTTTCAATCACGTCATGGTCTCAATCATAGATGCCATAATAAATATGCTTCAGTGGATAAATACGTCTCCAGCTATACAGTATGTGATAATCAATTTGACAAATATAAGTCTAATACGGAAAAATGATCAGAAAGTTTTCTTATTTCCATGAATTGGACTAATATTTATTTGTTATATATGTTAGTCCTTATATATATAATATATACATATGTATATTATACATATGTTTTATATATACATACATATATAATATATATATATTCAGTTTAACCCAGGGGTCTATTAACTGTCATTTTCTCTGTCATAACAGAGACCCCAAAATATCTGAATTATTTAGCCATCCCAGAGAACATTGCATTGACTGTTCCTTCATGCATTTCACTATATTACCTTAGGTTATGTATGATGAGGCCAGATACAGATCAAGACAGAGAACTGAAAAAGTTTACAGGTTTGTTATATTCACAGTTCCTGCAAACAACAAGGGGGAAGAGGCCTCTGAGTAATACTTTATTATGGTTTCTGCAAGAACAAAAGGACAAGGCAGGAAAAGTATGTCTAGGATTGGCTAATGTGAATAATTTCAGTAGCATCTGGAGTACAGGGGCTGTCTCTGGTTGTCTGGTATCTGATTCTGCTGGGGCTATTAGGGCTGATACAGAGTAGCCCACAGTTTGATGGCCCATTGAAGGAAATGGTTGAAGTATAGACTTAGCCACTTAAAAAAGGCAACTTACTGGCCTTTTGCTAGTGCATCAAACCTGGATCAAGACAGAACACAGAGAACTATGTTACATCATGATATCATGATGATCAGATCACGAAGTATAATATGTCTGTATATATCAGTCATGAGCAGTAGCAAATAATGTGGCTAACTGCACAAGAGCCTGAAATAAAAAGAAATGAAACATCAAAGACAAATAGTTCTTGGATAGAACCATGTATATGGCTATATGGTGAAAGCACAAAGTGTAAATATGTTTGTATCACATGTTAACTCCCACCAGAAATCATCCATTTTTGGAAGAAGCCTTGCACAACCAGGAAGACAAAATAATGTCAATTGACATTGTCCTTTCTCCATCTTCATGTGATCCAGAAATGGCATAATGGGTACATGAAAAGAGTAACCACAATGGCAGATGGAGGCTACACATGGACCCAACAAGAATGGGCTGCAACATGGGCTGCAAATGTCAAGATCAATCGACCTGTTACATCTTCTGTATCTTTATCCTATCAGCAGCAAAGAACAAAGTTGATCCCCCCTTAACGTTACTGTTTCCTGAGGAGTTTACCAAGCCAGATTCTTCTTTACCTGAAGGGGTATTAAGTTGTCTTCACTGGAGTAAACAATTTTCTGAGTATAAATTTGCCTTTACAGTCCATATACCATCATCCACCCTCAACATTCAGGGTTATTGAGTGATTAACTCAAATCCCACACAAAATAGTATCTAACCAAACAAACACACTTTACAGTAAAGGAGGTACAGGTGTGAGTCCATAACAATGGAATCCACTGGTTCTACACCATAATGCTCCATTCAAATGCAGCTGGATTGATAATGTTGGAATTGCCTGAAGGCAAAGTGGAGACAATACTCAGTGAAGGTGAAGTACCATTCTCCACGATTGCTTCAACACTGAATTAGAGCCTATCCTATATACAGTGCTTTTTTTTTTTTTTTTTTTTTGAGTAGAAAGAACACAGAAGTCTGATAACCAGTTGGCAATATTAGTTTGTAGTGAATGCAACTTTGCTATGTCCTTTAGCAGGACCAGTGTTTGGTAGCAAAAGTGGCCTTACTTGCTGTCATTCTCATGTCTGCAAATAAGGACTCCTCGAGGCTAGAGGGTCTGAACCCTTACTATTGTGCACTCTTGCTAAAGGACATAGCATAGTCACATTCACTACAAACTAGTGTTGCCAACTGGACACTTTGTATTCCTTGTGTTTGGGGAACCAAGCAAGAAGAGTAGTCTTCTTTGTGTATGAATAATTGATCCTAATCAGATGG
The DNA here is from genome assembly GCF_000001405.40 of Homo sapiens. NCBI lineage: Eukaryota > Metazoa > Chordata > Mammalia > Primates > Hominidae > Homo > Homo sapiens. Next base: position 18,601,330 of record NC_000005.10, read on the forward strand.
AGGTAGGGCTGCTGTAACACCATGAGAGCAAGGAGTAAAACGTGTGGGACTGAGGTCATCACTCTGGTGCTTCTTGTTATTCCATTACCATGTGACTGTGACTATGAATGGAGAAATGTAGCAAAAATAGCCTGAGAAAGGTATGTTTATCAGAGTCTAAACTCTCTAATAGGAATGTTTGAGTCTTACCACCAAGAAGCCAGAGGACCTCATAAAGGTGACAAGCCAAAGCCAGCCAATTTAGAATGGATAGTGCCAAGGGAAATAATGAGTACCAGTTGTGACACCAAGAACAATTATAGCAATTGGGACTAAATGTATCCTATCAATCTCCCGCTTCGTTTTCATTTAAGAGGTGCTCACTAGAACTCTAGAGGAACTGCTCCCTCTATGTGGATGTAGAAGTTTATTCACATGATATAGGAGTGGAACTGTAGCAACCATGGAGATGCACTCCTTGGGGCTTCCTCAAAGTAGGGCAGTTAGCTAACAACCTCAAGACTCAATGCCTTCAGAAGCTTCCTTAACTTTTGAGATGAGGCCACATTCTTCTCAGGTAGCCCAAGCCAATAAATGACCCCTGTAACTCCACTACAGACATGCTATTTCTCTCTAATGTAGGACATGTCTGATAGGTGATCATTCTCAAGTTACTCGTTGGGTTGACTTTGTCAGCTCTACATTATGGATTGCTGTTGTAGCTGATCATTCTTTCTTATTTCACTCTATCTCATGTGTCATACCTGCATCATGGTCTGAAGGATTTCCCTGCCCAATTCTTTGTCTTCTCCTTTTAATCTCTCACTCACATTATCCTCCAATACACTGTGCTGACTCAACTCCACTTCAATGTCAGCTTCCCAGAGGACCAACATGACCCATCTCCACAAAACTCATAACTTACGGGAAATAAAGTTTTTCTTAGTCTCAGAGTTAATACACTGTGAAAATGTTGATACTGTGAAATTAGCATTTATCATATCTACAAATATATTGTACGGTTTCTCTGGTACGGTAAGTTTTCTCTGGTAAGGAGGGGTAATTTCTCACAAATCATATGATTTGCAATTCTCCAATTTATACCTACACTCCTTTTTTTTTGTGACACAATATAAAACAAGAATTCTTTGTAGACAGCAAACTGTATTACATGACCTCCAGTACTAGCACAGTTATTGTAAGTGTTGGCAATAGAAGTTAGATCATAGAGAAAAAGGGGCTCTTGTATGAATGTGCATCAGAGCATATTTCTGAAATGAATAATCTAAAAGCATTTTAGTGGCAGATTTATGGGAGAGTAATTGAAAACGCTACTCTGGAATTAACCTTTACTCCTGCCAAACTTCTATCTCAAGTCATTCTAATTATAAGTGAATGTCTTGCAGACAATTTATCAAGGCTTTGTTACTTCAATTTAAAACCAAATTGATTCATCTTGCTCAAAGCACATAGAGTTCCCCAGGAAAAAATAATTTACAAACTGATTCTCCTTAGGGAGGGGATAAATGAAAGCCAGTAAACTTTCTACTGAGAGAAAAGAATATTTCAATATTTATTTTCTTCTTTCTATTTATTTTTGTAACTGGGCAAAATTTACAATGGAAGAATGTTTTGAACAATAAAACAGAGTGTATCCAGATGAGATAAAAGAAAGTTCTGTGAAGCAAATTAACATAGCAAACACATTCTTTCTCTATATCCAAATTGCCTTCCTGCCATGAATTGACGGTTTGAAATTTATAATGGATAAAAACATAGAAAACATATTTATGTGCAAAAACAGTTTTATAGAAAATGCTGGAAGAAGGTTTTGTATATTGCCTTAAATAGAGTGGCATTTACTTTGGCAACAGCCTAAAATATATCTCTATTTCAGTGCTTTTGTGAAAAACAAGATCTGTAAAGTAAGGATTATTAAATATACAGACAGAAAACCCTAGCAAGATTTGCATTTTCCCATAGGTACATATGAAGAGCAAAGTTTTATGATTAGCACAAACACAGTCTTACCTAGAGAAACTCTATCATACCTGTAATATTATAGACCAACACCAGAATCCTAACCAAAGAAATGAGGGCAATTCACACTTCTATAAAAGGAGTTATGTTCAGATACGAAGTGAGATATTTTACAAAGAAGAAGGGCTGTTGATGGACTGGCTGAAAGCCATTTCAGTTTTTGGCATGTAACTTGTAGAAGTAAACCAAGAGGGGATGAGAATTTCAGTAGAGCCAGACCTCATAACATGTCCAGGTGGCTCAGTCATTGCAGTCCTGATTTAAAGACTACCATCCAATATATTAATAATTCAAGTTAGACATCTAATGTAGACATTTTTTTTTCTGCCAGGATGAAAATTTGGCAAGGTCATGAAATAAAATGGGTGAAGTTTCTGTTAGAACTTTCTAAAATACTACTATTGACCAAGAAAAATGTAAAACAAACAAAAAGACTAAAACCAATTATTTTAATTTTGAAATATTGTCAACAGAAATAAATGACCAAAAATGTTTTTAATTAATCAAATTATACACTAGGCAGATTATTATTATAGCTTTAGATTTTTATCATATTAAATTATAATACATGTATAACCTTTACAAGTTAGTGTGGAAGAAGGCATAGGAAATAAAATAATTTTTCAAACCTAAGGTTTTTCTCTATTAACTTTAAGTCTGAAGTGCTGAAATACAGATTTAAATACACTTAATCAGATATAACATAGTAGTATTTGAAATATAAAAATAAGAAAGAAAAGCACTGGATAATGAATACTCCATAAAAAATTTATTCTTTTGAGATTGGTTCCTTTGTTTCAATGTTTGCTATCGAAAGGCATGTTTGCAAATATTGGTAATAAAGTAGAAAACTCAATGCATAAAGTTCTGCTCTTGTGCAGTTCACTGTTTAGTGAGGAACAGTGCTAAATAAAAAAGCAAAAAGATAACCAAAGGCATGCATTGTAAATCAGATGATAGTTACCAGAGTGGATACTGGAGCAAGGCCCAGGACCACAGTCAGAGCAAAATCCCTGAGGTGGGAGATGATAATGTCATAGGAGAACACAAACAAATAAACACACAAACAAAATCTCCCACTGTGAAGAATATTTGGAAACTGCTAGATTAAACACTAAGTTTGTTCCTTTGTTGTAGGATCTCTTGCAACTTTTGAGATTCTAATATATATTTTAACGCTTCATCAGAAGAGAGGCATAGAGTAATGTACTCACTTCTCATAATGATCAGTTTTTCTTGATCATCTTACAAGGCACATTTTCTTCTTAGGAGGAGAATCTTCCTAGTGGCTCTCAGCTAGTAATTGGTCTCTCGCCAAAGAAAGGGAGGCGAATGAGTTTCTCATGTAGAGGAGGCAAAGAGTGGATTATAAAATGCAGGTGAAATTACATGGAACTGAGTTTAAGTCACAGATTGTACAATAGGAAGTGATTAAAAAAGAAAAAAGAAAAAATATTAATTCTGCTCTCACAGGTACTGGATAAGAGGCTAGACTGTTTAATATTTATTACATGGGTAGTAGGACAAATTCAATAACAATGAAAATAAAAAATTCTAACTTGTTATATTCTTGGTACTAGGAGCTATAGGTTGATAAAAATTGCACCTTTTCTTCCCCTCTTGTGTACAGAAATAATTGAGAGATAAGTCACAGAAGTCAGAAAGCATGGAAGCAAAATATCAACTCTACTACTGATAGAGACTGGATGAGAGTATACAGCTTCAGTAGGCAATCGCAATGGGTTTTCCGTCACTTCACCCAGAATTAACATACCTAGATAGTCATTAAGAAAAAAAGCAAGAGATATGTTGGCCACCTCTGCGGGGCAAAGACTGCCCTTAACCATACCACCATATGGCTGAGAACAGATAAAAAACAAAACAAAAATACATTCTCTGCAGGCAGAAACATTTAAAAGAATGTCAGAAAGACTGAGCTAAGCTTGTTTTTGTCCTTTCTCTTGAACTCATTGATGAGGTAAGTGGCTTTTCCTCCTTTGGTGACTGTGAGTCACATCAAGAAAAGTCAGAATGTCCCTCCCTGGTGGTTTCTTGCACTTGACTGTGGCCAAGTGCATGAGCTGACCACCAGGCAGCCAGCAGTTCACTCAGCAAATCCTTGCTCTGGTAAGACACTCAAAGGGAAATGAAGGCTCTACTGCCACACTCATGAATCAGATAAGCCACCCCTTCCTTCAAAGAGAGGGAAAAGACATCCACTGTCCCTCAGAGTAGAAATTCGCCCTTTGCTATGACTACATGGAGGCAGAGCAGATATGCTTTGCTCAAAAGTTGTCTATGGAGCACAAAAAATTGTTTATTTATTTATTTTTTTTGTGACTGAGTGTATTATGGTTTTCCAGAGAAGCAGAACCAACAGGAGATCTCTATCATCTTTCAATTAGATAGAGAGATGACAGATAGATAGATAGATAGACAGATAGATAGATCTCTATCTCTATATCTATAGAGCTCTCTCTCTATATAAACCTATATAGAGAGAGATATAGATCTATATAAATCTATATAGAGAGAGATCTCTATGTAAGTATAGATGGCTCTCAATCTCTATCTCTCTATCTTAACATCTTTGAAGACATAATTTGTTAAGTCAAGTTGAGGGGATTAGGGTGAGCCCTAATCCAACATCCTTACATAAGGATTGGCGTCCTTATACAAAGGAAAAATTTTGACACAGAAACAGACATGCATAAAGAAAAATGACACAAAGGAGGGAGAAGACGGCCCTTTATAAGCCAAGAAGAGAGGCTTGGAACAGATTGTTTCCTCATAGCCTCGGAAGGAACCAACACAGTCAAAACCTCAGGTCTGGACATCTAGTCTCTATGACTGCAAAACTATAAATTTCTGTTGTTTAAGCCGCTCAGTTTGTAGTGCTTTGTTACAGCAGTTCTAGAAAGCTAAAGCAGATGGTAACAACCCAGCTTCTGAGGCTGTAACCAGTCAATGAAATAGCAATTATAGCATTGAAGCAAAGAGAGATGAGGAATTTTAAAATGATAACAGGGTAGAATTTTCCATGATGACAACAACAACAAAACCAAAATGGAATCAAACTTTCTTTGCCTAAAACAGTTTCCCATTGATTTTGCCTAATAACTTTAATGATTAAACCATTCATTTGAAAATTTAATATTTCAATAAGTTTCATTTTCCTTAATATAATTTATTAAATGGCTAACTAGATCCCTAAACAAAACAAAAACTGTGTTTTGGTTTATGTCAGTTGGTTTTCTTTTATGATTTTCTATATGCTCATTAAAAAAAAAAAAAAAAACCTTTTCAGATAGTGAAAAGTCAGACACACATGAACTGATTTTGCCCTGGGGAGATAGTGGTTCAAATCATAATAACTAATAAGAGGCTTCTTTTGTGAATCAGTCAAACCATCAGTTTCACAGAACTCTATGATAGTACCTTAGGGTCATGAAGGTGTTGTATCAATAGTTATCTCTGTATTACTCAGGGTTATCCAGAAAAAGAAAATAAAGGAAGAGCTGTTCTAGGCAACTCATACTTGGGGGATATTAGTGCATTCATAATTAATTCATCAGATATTTATTAAGCATCTATTAAATACTTGCTAAACTTTGAGCAATTGACTGTTTTTATCTCCATAGTAAACAAAGAGAATTTTGTCACCAGAGAATGGCCTAGTATTCAAGGAGTCTTATAATCACCCTGTGATGAAGGAAGGACACTTTCAAATAGAGAGTAGCAATGTACACACCCAACCTGAATATACTTTCTCCCCTTTGCATGCTGTCAACAGAATCATATTCATTGATTATGAAAACTGAATGCTTAGGAGGGCTACAAAAATTTTCCATAGTTGCTAACCTTGCTCAGTTACTTCTCATCACTGAATATAAACAGATAACTCAGATTAACAATTTTTAAAGACCTTTGAATATGGCAAAAAAAACCCCACAACAATCAGAACAAAAATAATCCAGAGAAATAAAGAGGTGATATGGAAAACAGAAGAACATGTAACATAAAATGTAATTAATATGAACAAGAGAATTGAAAGCATACCACATCTGTAACTCAATAAAAAAAAGGTTGCCATAAAAAATAAACATTCAGTAGGCTAGGAGTCTAACAATGTAATTTTGAATTTTCAACAGTGAAACAAACAGTAGCAGCAAAGTGCTAGCAGACGAGCTATGCCTGATTACTAATGTAATGAACTAAATGCCCAAATCATGAGATAATAATGGAACGGAACACAAAGAAAATGTGAGAGGACATTTAAGACTCGTAGACGAGAGATGCAAAGGTCTCATTGGCTTTTCATTTATCCACTAAATATCCTTGATGACCCTTCTAGATGCCAGACATTATTCTAATGGATCCAAAGAGACAATGACTCTTACTCTCAGAAAGTTTATATTGTAATGTGAGTACCCAGACAATTAACAATAGATACACTAAATCACTAAACTACACAGAATGTTAGAGAGTGGAAAGGAAGCCGAACAGATGAAAGGGATTTGCATATGATAAAATAGAAGGCAGTTTGCATTTTAAATAGGGTAGTGTGATAGGTTTCATTTAAAAGGTGACAAGAGCGATATTTGAGTAAAATTTATGGTATTGAGAGACTTGAGAGATGTAGCTATGTGGCTATATAAGGATAAATATTTTTTTCCAATTTGATTGAAAGAATATATCAAAATAATAATGAGGATATATTTCTTTGAGCTGAGATATAATCTTCTGTTTTAAAAAGTCAGTCTCATATCAAATAGGATCAACAGGAGGAAAACAAAGCCCATACCCAATTCCACATTGATGATACAGAAAAAAATGAATAAAAAACAAAATTCTGATAACCATGAAAGAAAAATATCAGTTCACTTATAAAGGAATATGAATCAGATTTGCATCACAATTCTGCAGCATTGGTTTCTAGGAGATATATGCATAATAAAATCAGTGAGAATGCAAAAAAATCACATGTGCAAATTATCAGACTCTTCTAAGAATCAGATATAATAGCACAAATTAAATACATATATATATATACATTTTGAGACAGTCTTACTGTGTTGCCCAGGATGGACTGCAGTGGCTCAATTAAAGCTGACTGCAGGCTTAACCTCCTAGGCTCAAACTATCCTCCTGTCTCAGCATCTTGAGTAGCTGAGACTATAGGCCAAGCACACATCACCATGCCTAGCTAATTTATTTTTTGTAGAGATGGGATCTTGTTATGTTGCTCAGGTTGGTTGTGAATTCCTGGCATCAAGCAATCCTCCCATCTCAACCTCTGCACGTCCTGGAATTATAGGCATGAACCATCGCTCCAGACCTAAAGATAATTTTAACACGTGATGGAAGTGAGAAGGTTAAAAACTACAAGTACATAAAAAAAGTATATATATATTTATTAATGAAAAACTGACAGGAACTAAAGAATGAACTCATAAAATTTAGGGAATTGTGACAATTAAAGGAATTAGTAACACTTCGGTGTAATTCTTGAGTCAAACTCTCCAGGTAATTGGCTCAGCTTTATCACTTACTAGCTGTATAAACACTATATCCTTTTGTGCATCTGTTTTCTTATTTACAGATGAGAATAATAATAGTCCATGAGAATTGGTGTGTGCATTAAGTTAGATAATATATGTAAGGCAATTAGGATAGTGTCTGTTGAACTATATGTGCTATGTGTGTGAATGCTCTGTCTTCTATTCTCCTTCATTCTTCTGTTCCATCCTTTTCTTCCTTCTCGTGCTTCTCTTCCTTCTCTAACTGTCTTTCATACCTCTTTTGCTTTCCTTCTCCTTCTCCTTTTTCTTGGCTCACACAAAGAGAGAGAAAAAAGGTTGGTCTGAGCATGTTCAATTTATCTTCTCAAAATCACCACTCAAAAATGTTGCTTTCTCATGCCTTGCAGAAGAAAAAGGAAGGGAAACACAATGAAGCCAAAAATGATCACTCAACAATATTCCTTTAGAGGAAGTTGAGTGGAAATTCCACACTGAACATAAGAGCTGAATAAATGTCCTTGGCTAATGAACATCTCAGTAAATGCCTAGATAAAAGTTGATGTAATTAAACATTTTATATGAGGATATAGGGTGTGTATGTGTGCATGAGCATTTGTGTATATAATTATGTACATTGTCTACCTAAGAAAAATAACCAAATACTGAAACTATTAATTGATTTAGTAAACTGACTAAATGCAAGAGTAATAACATCTATCAAATTAAACAAAATGTCTAGTCTTTCACTTCTCTTTCCTTACTTTAGAAATACCTCCAAAACAGAAATGTAAGCTCTCTTATTATAATGTGAAGAAAATATGCAGATAGATAGATAGTCATATGGAAAATAGTAGAGATAGATAGACAGAGAGATATCAGATTTACTGCTGATAATCCTTTTATCCTGCCTGTTCAGTATGTACATTTTCTGTAGTTTTTTTAATCCAATGGAGAAGATAAGTTACTTATATTAAATAAACAAAGAACATTTTCTGCCATACCTCCTCTATTGTGCATCAACTTTTACATATTTGATAGAGAATTGAAATTAAAGATCATATTTCATTTTGTTAATTGAGATCTTGCCTTCTGTGCGATACATTTATGTTATATATCTGAATGCCAATAAGTAGAGAAAACTCTAGTATTAAGGGAAAATGATAAAATAAACTTTGTAGGGGTCCATTTTTAATTTACCCACTGGAATTGAACTAAGATATCTGCCTAAAAAGAACCATGATAATTTTATGGTGTGACCTGAAAGATTGCATGTGGGAAGGAAGAAGGATTTTCTTAAAAATTATACACATAGAGGAATGAATTACATGTGATCAAAATGTTATTTGTATTTTTTTCGTAAACCAACTTCTATTGAGAGTCATCAGATATGTATTGAAATTTTACACATATTTATTGAAATAAAAATTTCTCTCTTAAGTTAAACTTCTACAAACTCAAAATGTGGTAGGCATGGTAATATAATTTAGGATTATGCTTTACCAACCTACATTATTTGTGATTAATTTTATAAAATATATTGAATTTATCTTTTACACTATTAAAAAAGTCATATTTTTTATATGGATAATTCCATTTGAAGTTGAAGAGATGGGATGGTGACCTTCCAGGGACAGAGTATTATTACACTTTCAAAGGACTGGATAGATTATTCTTAATTTTTTATCTAACAATAAACTTATATGATGCTGTGGAAGATAAATGTAGCTCAGGAATATATAAATAAATTGATCAATTAATTTTGCATAATCACAGCATTTAAAGTGTTGTGCCTGAAACAGTTTTAGTGTTATTTTTGCATAATAACCTAATCCTATTCAAAGATAATAATTGTTTAAAGGATCCCGAATCTTAATAGTAAACCAAATCTTATCACCTCCCTCTCAACAAAACCTATCATCTAAAGATAATGTGACAGGACATACCAACAGGCATACTAATTAGGCTTATCTGGCTTGTTGTACTGGTTAAACATATTTTCATGTGCCTATATGCCATGAATATATTATAAAATAAATTTACTGGTTTCATTTTTATAGTTTTTAGGGTTCATTATGTGTAAATATTTATATATAATGGATACTGATAATTGTTTCTATGTTGTCATTTATCTTTTCCATTATTTTGCAGAATATTTTATTTTATGTACTAAATTCATTGTCTTATGAAAAGAATATATATAGTTGTTTTGCTCAGATTGTCTTGTCATATGCAAGAATGTATGTAGGAAAAACCCGAATCTTAATTTAAGATTTTAATACTCTCAATATTTACATCTGAAGTGATGATCTATTTAGAAATCCATTTTATGAGCCTTAAGTTATCAGTTCAGGGATCTACCTATTTTTCTCAACATTTACTTGAAATGCATACCAATTTGAGTAGTCATTACTATCAAATCTATGATTTAACATGTGTAAACTAAAGAGAGCTTTCAAATGCTGATATCTAAGCTGTACCACAAAATAATTAATTCAGAATCTTAAAGAGCAAGGTACAGATACCAGTAATTCTTGAAGCCCAAGTAATTCAACATACAGCCACGTTTGAGAGTCAATGCTGAGAAGTGCCTGTAAATACGGTGTATTCATTTTTGGCACCATGAAGCAAAAATCACCTAAAAATAATGATCATTCAGCCCTTTCCCACAAATTATTTTTTTTCCTTTCCTTTATAAGATTTTTGTTTTACATACTATTTTTTACACATTACCAAGATCACACACATTTAGGTGTGTAATGTGTATTAAACAATATTGTTTATTAAATCCATATTAAACAATATTTATGTATTTAATGCATATTAAACCATATTGTTTGATATAACACACCTAACTGTGTGCTATAGTATGTAATAGTAATACCCAGAGGTGCTGAAAGTTTGAGTCGTTCTCAACCTTGGCAGCATATTGGAATTACCCAGGAGTGTTTACTATATCAGATATTCAGGTGATTGTGTTGCATAGCAAGACAGAAAACTCTGCCTTTGATCTATATGAATGCTTACCACCTGTGCTGTCATTTTTTTATCCATTACAACAAACAACTAAGCTTTCTATTTTTATTTTATTGGCTGGATTTAAACTTCAAGCAATTGTCTGGCTAAGAAAATTTAATTACTATACATTTATCGAGTGCACACTGATATGCCAAGAAATATGGCCAGATTAAAAAATCTTTGGATGTTTCAATTTTAAAGAATCTACTTCATGTGGCTTTATAGGTACTGATCCACAGTATTCTAGCACTGAACTTTGCATTGTACAATTTTAAGCCAATCATTTTTTTGTTTAGGTGACTTATTAGGGGAGGGTGCATTTCTGACCCATTGTGGCATTTCTCCCCTTCTTCTCCATTATTCAGTAACTTCACTAAAATACAACCTGGTGTTAATTATTTTATTTTTATTTATTTGATTAGTTCTTAGTGATGAGGTCTTGCTCTGTCTCCCAGGCTGCAGTGTGGTGTTACCATCAAAGCTCACTGCAGCCTCAAACTCCTGGACTCAAATGATTGTCCTACCTCAGAATCCCAAATGGTTGGGACTACAGGTGCATGCCATGACACCTGACTAATTTTTTAACTTTTGTAAAGACAAGGATCTCTCTATGTTGCCCAGGATGGTCTCAAACTCCTGGGCTCAAGTGATCCTCCCGCTTTGGCTTTCTAAAGTACTGGGATTACAGGCGTGAGCCACAGTGACCGGCTGCTAATTATTTTTTAATCCCTCAGCTCTGACATGCCCTCAGATAGTACATTTTTATTAATAGGGCATCCTATCTTTAAAACCGTATTTCTGTTTCATGTGCTCCATCCTTACAGTATTTACTTCAAGAGAAACAATTATGGAGATGTTCACAGTTTCCTTGTTTTTTTTTCTTTCTTTTTTTGCTTTAAAATGATTTCATTGTAATTGAGATGTATTTAAGTTTACTAAGTTTTCTTATCATACTCCTCCCTACTTTCAGCAATTCATATTTAACTTTTTTACTTCTCCAGTGCAGCTTTCATTTTCATAATTTTTTTTAGTTTTCCTTTCCTGAGTGCTGCCAATTTTTTCTTCTATTTTTTAAGACAATATTTCTTGTGTATCCAAGCTCTTCTTTCAAAAGCTCTATATCTTCCTCAAGACTGTTAAGCTCATGCATAAGTGCCATGTTAAAATTTTCTTCTGTTTCATTATATAATTTTTATGATTTTCATTTTCATCTGCAAGTATGTTTGTGTTTCTTTTCCTGTTTCCTTTCCCTTTTTTTTTTGGTAGTATCAGTATATATGCACCATTCTGATTTCTTTATAATTGTTACCTGTTTTGCTGGAAGGACTTATGCATAGTTGCAGTATTTACTAAATAACTGTGGAGGGACATGAGTTATGAGAAAGCTGGGGAAGCATCTATTTCATTTTATAAACCTGGTTTCATAATATTTTCTCATTCAATTTATTCAACAAATACATACTTATTGAACAATGTATTCGTTTGCTAGTGCTACTGCAATAAAGTACCACACAATGGGTGGTTTAAATTACAAAAATTTACTGTCTCGTGGTTTTAGAGAATAGAAGTCCAAAATCAAGGAGACATCAGAATAGGTTCCTGCTGAAGGCTGTGAGGGAAGAATCTGTCTCAAGCCCTCTCTTCTCAAACTGTAGATAGCTATCTTCTCCTTATGTCTCTTTATATCATCTGTTCCTGTGCACAAGTCTTTGTTCACATTCTCCCTTTTTATAATGACATTAGGCATATTAGATTAAGCCTGATCTAATAACCTCATCTTAACTTGATTACCATGCTAAAGACCTTATCTCTAAACAACATCACATTCTATGGTCCTGGGGCCTAATAGTTCAATCTATGCATTTTTGGGGGGTACACAATTCAACTCATAACAAGCAATGACTTGTTTCAGACTCTCTTTAATATTCTTGAGTTCCAACAAAGAGAAACTACCATAAAAAAAATTAAAAAATTAAAAAAAGGAAAACAACAACCCTACTTTCCTGGATCCTACTCCAACTTGGGGGAAAGGACAATAAACAAATAAATTAATGTATATAAAACAGATCAGCTACTGTTAAGTAAAGAAACATAAAGCCAGAAATAAGATATATACATATATATATATATATATTTATGGATGGGGTGCTGTTTTGTATTGATGTTCTGGAAAATTCTTTCTGATAAAGTAGCACTGAGTGTTATCTGACCATACCATGAGAAATAGCCACAGATATTTAAGGTGGAATTCCATTGTAGGCAGAAGAATAGACAGAGAGGTTCTGACAAAAGAATCATTATTGTCTATAAAGAATATCAAAGGCTTCTGTTTTGCAAGTCTGGAATGAGGAAGATGAGACTGATATGAGAGAATTTCTTACTGGTTAAAGGAAGCCAGATCTTGCAGTACCATGTTGGCCATGGTGAGTTATTTAACTTTAATTCTAAGTGAAATGGGAAACCATTGCAAAGTTTGGGTAAAGAAAGAAGAGAAATAATGTTGACTTACTTCTAAAAGTATTTCTTTCACTCTGGGATAGTCAAAACACTAACCAGAGTAAAGGTGAAAGGTAGGACACCAATTAGAAGGTTTTTGCAGTAGTCCAGTTGAGAGATGATAGTTGCTTGGATTCATAGAGTAGTGGTCCAGTTTTTGCGTATAAATCAAACTGTAGATATATTTATAAGTTAGAGCCATTGGTATTTTCTCTTACATCGATTTGCAGAAATAAGTGAAAGGTGACTCAAAGAGATTAGACTAAAAGAGTTGTCAATCAGATGGTTATTATTGAAGTATAACAGGCTGGAAAGAGGGGCTGGTTTGGGTGAGGAAATCATGTGTCTAGTGTTTGGAAATGTTAAATTTGGGATGCCCGTTTTAGCTATACAAGATAGCTTGCAGATTTACATCCTGGTTTAATGAGTCCAGATTTTAGGATAGAAAATTCTGTATACTAAATGACTTGAGGAAATCAATTAAGAGACGAAAAAATTCAACATGAATCATTAGTTTTAAACTAGTGTACATTTTGTTTAGAGCTTACCCAAACAGATTGCCAAACTTCACCTCTAAAGTTTCTTAAATATGCTAAAGTTTGAGAAGCACCAGTCTAGACAATTTTCGCCAAACATTCTGTAGCCACAATAACCTTTTGAGTGTTTTGTTGACATTTAATAATTTTGTATATCTAATATTTTTGTCATGTATTTTTCCATCTAGAATCTCTCATTGTCAGTACTCTCATCTTCCTATAGTAGTATTTTTATTTCCATGTGCAGTTCAAGAAATATTAGAAACATTTAGAAAAAAACTTTTATGCCAATGTAAATAACTTATTACATTTACTTAAATTATTATATAAAGTAACCATATATCCTGGTAATTGATGCTTTTATTTACAGACTGTATCCCAAATAATAGTTATATCATTTTACAATCTTCATATTATCAGAGATCATCCTTAATAGAAAGCATGAATTATACAATTTTTAAATTAGCATGCAGTTTGTTATGTTACAAAAAACTTCATATATTATTAAAACTCAAACATACTTCCAATCATAAAAAAAGAGTGCTTGATAGTCGTATTAGTCAGTTTTCACGCTGCTAATAAAGACACACCTGAGATAGGGCAATTTACAAAAGAAAGAGGTATATTGGACTTACAGTTCCACATGGCTAGGGAAGGCTCACAATCATGGTGGAAGGCAAAGAGGAGCAAGTCATATCTTACATGAATGGCAGCAGGCAAAGAGAGAGCTTGTGCAGAGAAACTTCAGTTTTTAAAACTATCAGATCTCATGAGACCAATTCACTACCATTAGAACAGCATGAAAAAGACCTGCCCCCATGATTCAGTCATCTCTCACTGGGTCCCTCCCACAAAACATGGGAATTATGGAAGTTATGAGATGAGATTTGGGTGGGCATACAGAGCCAAACCACATCATTCTGACCCTGGCGCCTGCAAAATCTCATATCTTCACATTTCAAAACCAATCATGCCTTCCCAACAGTCCCCTAAAGTCTCAACTCATTCCAGCATTAACTCAAAAGTCCACAGTCCAAAGTCTCATCCAAGACAAGGCAAGTCCCTTCCACCTATGAACCTGTGAAATCAAAAGAAAGTTAGTTACTTCTTAGATACAATGGGTGTACAGGCATTGGGTAAACACAGCCATTCCAATTTGGAGAAATTGGCCAAAACAAAGGGGCTACAGGCCCCATGCAAGTCTCAAATTCAGCAGGGCAGTCAAATCTTAAAACTCCAAAATGATCTCCTTTGACTCCCTGTCTCACATCCAGGTCACACTGATGTAAGAGGTAGGTTCCCATAGGCTTGGGCAGCTCTGCCCCTGTAGCTTTGCAGGTACAGCTCTCCTCCCCATTGCCTTCATTGGCTGGCATTGAGTGTCTGTGGCTTTTCCAGGTGCATGGTGCAAGCTGTTGGTGGAGCTACCATTCTGGGGTCTGGAAGACAGTGACTGTCTTCTCACAGCTCCACTAGGAGCTGCCCAAGAGGGACTCTGTGTGGAGGCTCCCACCCCACATTTCCCTTCTGCACTACCCTAGCAGAGGTTCTGCATAAGGACCCTGCTCCTACAGCAAACTTCTGCCTTAGCATCCAGGCATTTCCATGCATCTTCTGAAATCTAGGCAGAGGTTCCCGAACCTCAATTCTTGACTTCCATGCACTCTGCAGGCTCAATACCACATAGAAGCTGCCAAGGCTTGAGGCTTGCATGCTCTGAAGCCACAGACTGAGCTCTGTGCTGGTCCCTTTTAGCCATGGCTAGAGTGGCTTGGATACAGGGCACTAAGTCCCTAGGCTGCACACAGCATGGAGACCCTGGGCCCAGCCCATGAAACCACTTTTTCTGGATAGGCCTCTGGGCCTATAATTTAGGGAGGGGCTGCCACAAAGTTCTCTGATATGCACTGGAGACATTTTCTCCATGTTCTTGGTGATTTACATTCAGCTCCTTGTTACTTAAGCAAATTTCTGCAGTTGGCTTGAATTTCTCCTCCGAAAGTGGGTTTTTCTTTTCTATTGGATTGTCAGTCTGCAAATTTTCCAACTTTTTATGCTCTGTTTCTCTTTTGAAACTGAATGCCTTTAACAGCACCCGAGTCACCTCTTGAATGCTTTGCTTCATAAAAGTTTCTTCCACTGGATACTCTAAATCAGCTCTCTCAAGTTCAAAGTTCCACAAATATCTAAAGCAGGGGCAAAATGCCCCCAATCTCTTTGCTAAAACATAACAAGAGTCACCTTTGCTCCAGTACCCAACAAGTTCCTCATCTCCATTTAAGATCCACCTCAGCCTGGATTTCATTGTCTATATCATTATCAGCATTTTGGTCAAAGCCATTCAACAAGTCTCTAGAAGTTCCAAACTTTCCCATATTTTCCTGTCTTCTTTTGAGCCCTCCAAACTATTCCAACCTCTGCCTGTTACCCAGTTCCAAAGTCGCTTTAACATTTTTTGGTATCTTTTCATCAACACCCCACTCCTGGTACCAATTTTCTGTATTAGTCAGTTTTCATGCTGCTAATAAAGACATACCTGAGACTGGCCAATTTACAAAGGAAAGAGGTTTATTGGACTTACAGTTCCACAGGGCTGGGGAGGCCTCATAATCACGGCAGAAGGCAAGGAGAAGGAAGTCACATGTTACATGGATGGCAGCAGGCAAAGAGAGAGCTTGTGCAGAGAAACTTCCATTTTTAAAACCATCAGATCTCATGAGACAATTCACTATCACAAGAACAGCACAGGAAAGACCCGCAACATGATTCAATAATCTCTCACTGGGTCCCTCCCACAATGCATGGGAATTATGGGAGGTACAAGATGAGATTATTTGGGGGGACATAGAGCCAAACAATATCAACAGTATCTTTTGTATATTCTGAACATCTGGATATGGAAAGGTTAAGAGATTTGGGGAAAATAATGTAAACAAATATTTAGTGGTAAATCCATGATGAATATCTAAATGTTTTGATTCTTATTATATTTATGAATACTTGAAGTACAACAGAACTCACAGACTCTAAAATAAGTATGGCCAAAAGTACCTTGTTAACTCAGAGGAAATCTTATATTTTTGCTTAGAGTTTTGTCCATAGGGACTGGAATCATACCTTGACCATAGTATAAATGACTTCAAGAACTGAGTGAATTCAAGATGCACTTATATAAAACTATAGCACAAAATGAAATCTGTATCATACAATGCTTCCCTCCTCTACTCCCACCTCTACACTCAAAGGGAGTTTATATTGGAATAAAAGGATTCATGGAGGATCAGAGCAGAAGCACAATCAGTAATAATGAGTAACACAGTTATTCACTAGTTTCTAAAATGTGGACACAATCCTGTGTCACTGGATGAAGGGTAAAGAGTTTTACTTATTGAGCATTACATCCTGAAAGGCATTGAGTAATTCACAGATAAAGAGATTTAATTATTTCGTATGTTTCTGGAGGACAGATGTCACTACCTCAGTTGGATGTAATTGGGAGTCTGTTTGAAAGCCTAAAAGTTGAGGTCAAAGAGAAAATGTTTCTGGACTTAGAAGTCCCTTTTCATTCCTTCTGATTAACTCTATTAGAGGAGATGAATATTCCCCAGAGGAATTGGCTTGCCTCATATTAACCGTGGCCTCAATGTTTTTTCTTTTCCTAAATAATCAAATGACCATATATATTAAGAAGTTATTAGTCTGACATTATTTCTCAAATGTAGAAATTATCTTAAATTAATGTAAATATATATGTTTGGTACATCAATGGAGTGAATAATATGAATGGTATTGTCACATTTTGTCCCTCTGGATATTTACAAGAATATAGGAAATTTGAGTTTCAAACAGTGGTACACCCAATTGCCTTCCAGGACCTTCCCCAACCACCTACACAAATATAACTGGATTTACAGCAGATCAATTGCTGAAATTTTTAAGTAACTTTTTAAAAACCTCCACAAATGTCTTAGGTAGAGCAGAATATATACACAGAACATATTATTGGCATTTTTCCAATGTGGAAGTTAAATTGTTTGACTCTTAGAAAAACAATTTCTGTGAAACTTTCAGAACTCATTTGAATTATTTCTCCTTACAGGATAGACTCAAGACTTTTATCACGTCCTTCCTTGGCTGAAGAAAAAGAGATTAAGCCATTGTTTTCTTCATTTATACAACGAGATAGAAATATTGTCAGAACTGCCCTGAGATTGCACTTGTTGTGAAAAAAAAATTAGATCAGATTAAAAAAAAAAAGGTGTTTGTAGCTTTATAAAAACAAGTCCTTAATACTTCTTAAGGGATCATTTGAACTTCCCGGCTTAGAAAATTGCTGCTTTAATTTTCTTTCAAAAGGGCACTTCAAGCTGAAATTTATAATTCTCCTTTAAGTCTAAAACAGAAGTTACATGATACTACCTGCAATTTTTCTAACTAAAAACAACCAGATTCACATGCTCCGAACTTGGAAAATGAATTTGTTACATGACTGTGGTAACAAGAGATGCATTGCATAAACAGTGGGGAGTTGGTGTATTCCCAAAGTTTTTCATTTATTGGATTTTACTTTCTATAATTTAATATTTGAAATAAAAGAAATTGTAGTAGGTAAATAAAGCCAAGTTCTCTAGAGACAGAAAATTCTAGATTTTTAATCTGTCTGCACAACTAATGATCTCTATGACTGTGTGTCTCAGTTTGCTTATTTTGAAAATGAGGATGTTCATTTCACATTGTAGTTTGGATGATTAATTGTGCTTACTGCATATAACGCACTCAGCATAATATGTGTTCAAAAATAAAATATCATAACGCCTAAAATATCCAAATAATCAAGTTATATTTGTCAGAGTTCTTTCATACATAGATCATTTAAGTCAAATTCAGAATAGTTAAACAAAAAAACAAACAATACAATAAGTATTAATATACAGAGATTTGACTGGCGGGATTTTAGGAGTACAAATCATGCCAGCAGGATTTTATTTTATTCATCCCTCACTTGGGTCTTTGTATCTGTTGGCTTTATTTTCAGTAAAGATGTCTCCATATAATAGTAAACTTGTTGGTCATTTGTTCAGACTTATTTGTTTCTCAGAAATTCTAGACACAGAACTCCCCAATGTCTAGAAAAATGCTGAATAAGAGCTTTGGTTGGCCTTGAATTGAGTTGGGTCTCTAACCTAAACCATCACAATGGCCAGGAAATGGCTGTTCTCTGATCTGCTTCATGAGACCCTGTGCTTCACATTATGTCAGGAGAGAATCAGGTAAGCTTCTTTAAAACACAGAAGAGATTCTGTTACCAGGAGATGGGATGGTTAAGCATGTAGGGAAGAAAAAAAAAATCTATCTAGCTCTCTATTCATCTATCTATCTATCTCTATTTATCTGTCTACAAATCCTAGGCTTCTCTTCCAATTGCCGTCAATCATTTTGGAGTCATCAATAATTTAAGAGTTTTAAAAAGGGGTACTGAGAACAAAATACGATCAACTTTGATGCTCTATTGGTAGATAGATGCAATATGTTAAACAAGAAAATATTAAACACAGAAAAGTACCTAATCACATATTCCACTACCTGTGAGAATAATGTCACACAAGTAATGTAGCTTTGGAAAACTTAACTGATAATATGACAGTGAAAAGGACAAGATAGCAGCTTTGTAAATTAATTTTGTCCTCATGGAAGTCCTAAAAGTGTCTAGCAGAGGCCCAGGTATCTGCAGACCCCACATTCAAAAAGCCTGCTCGAGCCCATCATGTCACCATATATGGGAAATACACAAGAAATCTTTCCCTCCCCTCCAAGCATACAGCCACTTCCGTGGATAAGGTGGAACTAATTCACTCTACTGTAGCCAACTCTAGCAGTTCTAACTGTTATAATGCCACTGGGATAATCTTTATAGGCTTCAAATTTAAAAGCCATAGACTTATTCAGCATATTTAACTACTTTCTATTTCTGTACATAATGGATCAAACCCACTTTATATTATATAATTTTTTTTTAAATTTGGGTCTTGCCTCTTCTTTCATCTCTTCATTGCATTCTATGTTTGAACAATACTAAACAAGATGATCAGAAAAATGCGCTCAGAGACCTTTACTTAAAACAATGCTCTGGCATCTCCTATAATTCATTTCAGTATTTCTCACCATAAAGTTCACTCAAACAAAACTTTTCAATTTATAGTATTTTATTTGTATCCAAGAGGT
Organism: Homo sapiens; assembly: GCF_000001405.40. Lineage (NCBI taxonomy): Eukaryota > Metazoa > Chordata > Mammalia > Primates > Hominidae > Homo > Homo sapiens. Next base: position 18,621,140 of record NC_000005.10, read on the forward strand.
AGGTTTACTTACAATTTATATATGTTCCTTGATACTTTCAACATGGATTCAAACTCCCAATTAAACTTAAAAAACATCAGGGGAATAAACTCAAAGGATACTTGTCTTGAAAGATTGCCCTAGAACTCTGCAAACGACCACTCAATTTGTAAACGGGATCACTAATTAAATGTGAAATATATGCATGTCCATTTGGATGATCAGGATTGTAACTGTAGGACCTCACTTACAAATCCAATTCTGCATCGTTTCTTTTACATTTCAAATTAAGAGAAACAATTCTATTTTTAGATTTGTGTCATAAAACTATAATATTTTTATTACTAAATTTTAATGGAAATGTTTATGATTATTTGAGTCTGTGTCTGCACACAAAAATCTGAGTTTGTAAATTGAATATGTGATATAAAATTTCTTATATTTGTAAAAATTTACATTATGTCTCATATAGCTCAAGTGCTTTGTAATAAATTATATGACATAGTCTTTAAATGTACATAATGAAATGTCTAATACGGAAATACCTGTTTGAAAGTTTTTTCTTAAAAATAAATGTCAATGAGAAGGCAAAATTTATTTATTCATTTATTTTATTTTATTTTATTTTTTTGAGACAAGGTTCTGCTCTGTCATCCAGGCTGGAGTGCAGTGACACGATCACAGCTCATTGCAGCCTCTACCTCCTAGTCTCAAGTAATTCCCCTACCTCAGCCTCCCAAGTAGCTGGGACTACAGGCACGTGCCACAATGCCCAGCTAATTTTTGTATTTTTAGTAAAGACAGGGTTTTGCCATGTTGCCCAGGATTGTCTCGAATTCCTGGGCTCAAGCTATCTTCCTGTCTCTGCTTCCCGAAGTGCTGAGATTACAGGCATAAGCCATAAGCCACTGTCCTTGGAAAAAAAAATTAATTTCTAATTGTTGTAATAATTAAAGGAGCTATGTACATGTAAAGCACTCAGAAAAGTGCCTCAAACTTGAGTATTACATGTTAGCCACTATTATTAAAGTAAATATTGGAATAATTTTAGGATTCTTAATTACTTGAAAAATAATAAACATACTATATTTTACTTTAATTTTTATGAGTATAATTCAAACAAATGAACTACATTAGTAGTTAAAATAGATAATAAGTGGAGGCATGGAAACATTTTAAGAATCACATATTTTACACATTGAATTTGGTGGTATAAAACTTGTACCATCCACAGTGCAGAACTCCTCTGGAATGTTTAAGAATCCTTAAAGAGGGCTGGGTGTGGTGGCTCACGCCTGTAATCCCAGCACTTTGGGAGGCCGAAGTGGGCGGATCACCTGAGGTCAGGAAACCATACTGGCCAATATGGCGAAGCCACATGTCTACTAAAAATACAAAAACTAGCTGGGGCGTGGTTTTGCACACCAAGCCACTCAGGAGGCTGAGGAACAAGAATCGCTTAAACCTGGGAGGCAGAGGTTGCACTGAGCCAAGATTGTGCCACTGAACTCCAGCCTGGGTGACAGAGCGAGACTCTGTCTCAAAACAAAACAAAAAAAAAAGAATTCTTAAAGAAAGGAAATGGCTACTGTACATACCATGGAGTGGGAGTGGAACAAAAGTAGGTAGAACTTCAGTAGCCTAGGATGGTTTCAGAAACATTGATGAACTGTAGTTAAGACAGGCTTAGAAAACACTGTAATTGAAAATTTAATACTTTTGTAATAAAGGATAATTGGCAGAAAAACAATAAACTGCCTTGTTGGTTTGCTGATAATTGTATAGGTCAAGAGAAAGTATTAAAAAGGGGCATTTAAGAAATGTTTATTATATCTGTTTCAGAAGTTAAAATTCTAAAGAGTAAAAAATATTATAATTATCTTGGAGATGAAGGGGAAGTGGTAGGTTCTGTAATTTGCAAAAAGTATATGTTCCAGAACAATTATCGAGGAAATGAGAGATTGTGCCTTGGGAAAATATACATTTTCCTCTACCAGGCCTGGGAAAGTTATGCCTGATGTTGGCAAATTCTGGTGCTGGAGGGAGTGGGGGCTATCTAAGATATTGTTGAGAACCTTGAAGGCTCTTTAAATTCTACTCTTTTTGCAAGCTAGCATGCAAACCTGTGACAAATTTACAAATGGTGGTAGAAGATATGAGACTCCTTGGTCAGAAACAAAGGATTTTAATATTCACAGCAATAGGATTAGCCATAGTAACAGCATTGTGTTGCACAGTTCACCAAACCTTAATTTTTAGAAAGTAAAGGGAAGGGAACCACTGGACAATTGCACACACGGTGGACCACTTTGGGAAAAGGATTTTTATAATGGGCAGTAAATATGCATATCCACTGCTCCAGATGGAGACATTATCTCTATATTCCATAGCTGTTTACTCTAAAAATATCCTTGAAGATGTAGTTTGGAACAGGGTGGTCAGTGCCTCTATTTGCAATACATATATGAGACAGCTTAAGGATGTCTCTTCCCCTAACAGGTGGATGCTACTATTCTCATCAGCAGTACTGAATACCAAAATGCTAGGATACAATATCTTAAAAATATTTTTAACCCAGTATTTAATTTCCAACAAAACTCAAAAAAGCTAGTGGGAAGGCAGAATAGCGGTTTCTTTTTCGGTCATGAATAAAACCACAAATTTACTTCTAATATAACAAATTCTTAAGATGAGTTTAATCATCAACTATCATTACAGGAAGCAAGTAATTGATGTTTAAAACTGAAAAATCAAGAGCACTATAAATATATCATTTAAGAATAAAGAAATAGGTGCCAAGAAAATCTTAACAATTTGGAATTAATTGCATTTTGAAAGTGAATATGGGGGTTTGGCAGGTATATGTAGTTATAGGTACAATACAGATACAGATAGAGATAAAGATATAGATGTAGAAATAATATGGATGTTTACGTGGACATGAATGTGTATGTGGACATGTTTGTGGACAAGTTCATATATACATACATGTATGTGTGGCTGTGCCAGTGAATGTTTTGCAAATTTCAATTTTTTTAATGCTATAGATTTTCTTAATCTCATTTTTTAAATATTTTATGTGATTAGCCTATTATGTTTTATGTTTTATCTATCCTGAGAATGTATGTTCCCTGAAGGAAGATCTTTGAAATACCTTAAGAACATAGAACATGAAATGAGTACTTGTAGAATCACTAAATTCAGCAACCAAGACAGGTAAGATGGTAGGTCAAATATTACATGGAAGATTACTCGTATTTGGAGCTTTTAAGAAATACAAATGTCCTAGACTGTCTATAACACTAATAGATAATATAAACATTAAATGATTGTCATTAAGAAGTCATCAGTAATAGAATTCTTAAATAGTAAGCCTAAGGGGAACACTCAAGAAAGAAAAAAACTTTCTAAAGTCACTGCTTGGTAAATAAAAATATTCTTTTGGAACAGAAAAAATAAATTGTGAGATGCTAATAACTGATTAAAAACATTTTAGCTTTCAGCGTATGTATTTTTGAATGATCTTTTTTCAGTAGGAGCAAGGCATAATTAAACCTAAAGAATACAAGGTAATAATAAAGTTCCTAAGATGTGATGACACAGATACTCGTTAATGAGCTGTAGAAAATTTTGCTTATGACAGTGCGTGTGATGGTGATAATAAATGAATGTCTTCAAGTGGCACCTAATTAGCGTGATTAAACAACTTTAGTACTCACCAGATAATTCATTGAATCAATGTGCTTCTATTTATACATAGAACATGTTTTTCATTTGGGATCAATGTCTTGCCTCTAAAGCACCTTTCGTAGAGCTCTTTCCTTGTTTTTACTCTCACGTATCTGACCGGTCTGCTATCAGGCAGCTTGCCTGTATAAGCATGAATGACCTTGGAAATTATGTGGCACCCTGCAAAGCATTTGATGGGACTCTTCACAGTGAATTTGATGAGACTGAGTATCAGGAGCTCTAGCATAGTCTGAAACCCAAGCCGTATTCACTTTCCCTTAAATAGCCTTAGACAACTTAAATGAACTTGAAGATTCTAGAGTGAATACATGCAAAAGTGAATGCATATATCACATCACTAGAAAAATTTCTTTGTGGAAAAAGGTCACGAGTTGTAAATTAAGACTTAGGCTAAACATTCATTAATAACAAGTACAACTCAAATCCCATTATATAGTTCTATGTTGGCATTTATAGAAGCAACTTTGCATAATAGATAAGGGTAATTTATGTGCATCAAATTTAATAAAATTATGTGATATTATTCTGCAAATGATGAATAATTATATAGTCGTATGTATTCCTCAAGTTTATCATATGTTCAATATCAAACTTATTTATGCACCTAAATTTCACAAAGGCACGTTTTAAAAATTTGCATATCTTTAATCCTAACATTTTTATACAAAAATGTTTCTTTTTTGTAAAGTTGTTACATTATTTACTTAACAAAGGAACATATTTTAAAAATTAAATTTGAATCTGTAACTATTAGCACAAGTTGAACCTAGGGAAAGAAAATAAGACAATAATTCTGGTCTTTTAGGAGTCATGTGTCATGTATGCTCACTTTCTTCAACTAGAAAATTAAAATCTAAGTCTGTTTGTTGCCAGGGTTATTTATGAGAGTCAATTAGCCATGGCTAAATACCTTTAAAATTTTTAATTTGCTAAGTATAATGCACTTATTTATTTTGGGAGATAAAAAATAAGTTTGAATGTAGCACTCTACTGAGTTCAGTGTTGGGCAAGTAAAGCCTGATTATATGTAAGCTCTACCTTTGATATAAACATTTTTGTTTTCTGAATTTAAATTTGATTCCTCTCCAGTGAACATTCATGTTATAGAAGATTGAAATTTTGTTCTCCCAAATATTGAAAATATTTTGACACCAAGAAGAAGACAGCATATCTGAATGGAAAGAGCCAGAGAGTTCGAGTAGAGGAACTTCATAACTTGTTTGCTCCATACAATATGTGACACAACTTCTCAACCTATAATTTGGGAGAATAACATTTATTATCAAAAGTTTTCTTTAATTAAAAATTAAATGAAATAAACATGGAGACAACCTGTCTTATGATGGAGGTACCTGTCATAATAAATGATGACTGAGCCTGAATTCTCTGTTTCTTAACTGCATACATACATACATTTAGTTATTTGAAACAAAAACATCTGGCTTGACCTCTTCAAATTAGACTTTACTTCCCATTTTAGGCTTTAAAAAATAGTTACAAATACAATAAGAACACTTATTTGATTAAGTCAAGGGATAGATTCTAAAGCTCTAGGATCATAACTAGCTACATCTGGCAGCTACCAATGTTCTAATTCATTCCCTATCTAGTCTAGTTCTTTATTATTCTTTCTGAAATATGACCAGTGGTATTCAAAATAGCCCTGTTATTATTCCTTTTTTGTTACGCTCTTCTAGTTAATTAGATGATTTTCCAATTTTCTCAGTAATACTAAAATGATAAGATTGCTTTAGGGTTTCTAAGATTTTTTTAGAAGGACTAAAACCATGTAAATTAATAAGACTAGTAAGATGATACTTTAGGCACAATGTCCAATATATGTGAGCCATATATGTAAATTTTCTAGTGTTCATATTTGAAAAGTAAAAAGAATTATGTGATAGCAATATTAATAATATATTTTATTTAATCCTATATGTAAATTTATTATAATTTAACCATAAAATCCATACTAAGTCTATTAAAAGGATTACTTTACCCTATTCTTTGAAATCCAGTATTTTACCATTGTAATAGCTTTCAGTTGAGACTAGCCATATTTCTGATACTCAAAAAACACCTGTGGGGTGCTGGAGAGGATGTGGAGAAATAGGAACACTTTTACACTGTTGGTGGGACTGTAAACGAGTTCAACCATTGTGGAAGTCAGTGTGGCGATTCCTCAGGGATCTAGAACTAGAAATACCATTTGACCCAGCCATCCCATTACTGGGTATATACCCAAAGGAATATAAAACATGCTGCTATAAAGACACATGCACATGTATGTTTATTGTGGCACTATTCACAATAGCAAAGACTTGGAACCAACCCACATGTCCAACAATGATAGACTGGATTAAGAAAATGTGGCACATATACCCCATGGAACACTATGCAGCCATAAAAAATGATGAGTTCATGTCCTTTGTAGGGACATGGATGAAGCTGGAAACCATCATTCTCAGCAAACTATCGCAAGGACAAAAAACCAAACACCGCATGTTCTCACTCATAGGTGGGAATTGAACAATGAAAACACATGGACACAGGAAGGGGAACATCACACTCCGGGGCCTGTTGTTGGGTGTGGGGAGGGGAGAGGGATAGCATTAGGAGATATACCTGATGTTAAATGACCAGTTAATGGGTGCAGCACACCAACATGGCACATGTATACATATGTAACAAACCTGCACGTTGTGCACATGTACCCTAAAACTTAAAGTATAATTAAAAAAAAAAAAAAAAAACACCTGTGGCTACTAGATACCATAGTGTTAGCTTATTGTGGATGATAAAATATCTGAGATTCTATGGCTTTTAGTTTATTTTATCTACTTTTTATTAATTTATTTTAGTGAAAGTGCACTTAAATATGTGATTACATGGCATGCCTATAGCTACAGAAATTCTCTGGGGATTAGAGGCATAGCTAGGATTCATTAACTGCTATCTTGAAGAAACATTTAAATATCCTTACTTAGATATGCCTATTGTATGGCTTTATTATTTTATATTTTAATGAATCTTATGAGCTTAACTTGAGCTACAGAAGCATGACAAAAATCTTGAGATATTTAGAAGAGATTAGTTGTTTCCACATTTCCTCTAACTATGGCCTTATTGGATCCTAGCACAAGTGTAAGGCAATGGAGTATACTGTTTCCTATAATCTGCATTTTAAAAATACACGAGGTCTCCATCATGTGGTTGTAGGTACCATGGCCTTATATTAGACTGGGTCAATGAAACTCTTTGACTAAAACGTTCCTTTCCAGGGGACATTCCTGTTATGAAAGATTGAAATTTTGTTTTCCCAAATATTGAAAATATTTTGTCCCCCAGAAGAAGACAATGTATCTGAATGGAAAGAGCCAGAGAATTAGAGTAGAGCAACTTCACAAGTTGTTTGCTCTATACAATATGTGATGCAACTTCTCAACCTACAATTTGAGAAGAGTAATGTTTATTATCAAAAGTTTAGTTTTAAGTTTATTAAAAGTCCAAGTCCAACATATGAAGTAAATATTTTACATTTAAAGTTAATTGACTCGTGTAGTTTTTATCCTACTTGACTTACTGAAAATATTGACCTGCCTGGCTACTCCATTCTTGATGAAATGCTCTCCTTGGCTTTCATGGTACTGTGTTGCCTTTCTTCTTAGGTCTCTGGTGTTTCTTTGGTATTTTTTATACTTGCTCCTCTTTTCTGACCTTAAATATTAGTATAAACTTAATCATCTTTCTTTTTTCATTTTAAAGTTTTGGGTAATGATTTATATTCAGGCTTCAACAATACCAATATCTACATTTCCAATTCAGATTTGAAAATGCATACTCATATATGCAAATGCCCAATGGATAGCTCTACTTTAATACCTTACTGGTTCTTAAATATAAATGTGATTAAAACTTACTCCATCATTGCTTACCTCAGTCAATAACAAGACCCTCTTTGTGTCTATGAGTTGCCCATACTGGAAACCTATGAATCATTTTTGACTCATTTTGATTCTTTTCTGGAAACCACATATTCATATGCCAAGCCCAATAAAATAATAATTATTGAGCCTCATAATTATCAGTTATTGACATCAGATTTTTCCACCCATCTAGCTACATTTTTCCGGCAGTGTTCTCTTTCTCCACATAAACTATTTCAAACATGTCTTATTAACTGGCCTTTTACTTCTGGGCTATCCTATATGATCTTCTTGTCTTTCATTTTGATGAGCTCCTGTCTGTTCTCCAGAATTCAGGCATAACTGGAAAACTAAATGCAAATGTGGTTATGACACTCTCTTTACCTGCATAACACCAATAGTTGGGATTTAACTTCGATGCCACTTCTTTCAATAATTGAAGGGCCTGAGCTTCAATTTATTTTACTAAAGCATTAGTAGTAGTGTAAGTTGTATTATGTATTCCGTCCAGAGAAAGCAGAGAGATAGATTGATGTTGTTTCACTCTTTCCCTCTGCATTAGTTTATTCTCACACTGCTATAAAGAACTACCCAAAACTGGATAATTTATGAAGAAAAGAGGTTTAATTGACTCACAGTTCTGTAGGCTGTACAAGAAGCATGACTGAGAGGCCTCAGGAAACTTACAATCATCACAGAAGGTGAAAGGGAAGAAAACACATCTTCACGTGGTGGCAAGAGAGAGAGAGAGAGAAGGGGGAGGAACTACACACTTTCAAAACAACCAGATCTCATGAGAACTCATTCATTAACACAAGCACAGCAATGGGGGAGTTTTCACCCGTGATTGAGTCATCTCCCACCTGGCCCCTCATACAACACATGGGGATTACAATTTGACATGAGATTTGGGTAGGGACATAGAGCCAAACTGTATCATTCCACCCTTGGCTCCTCCCAAATCTCATGTCCTCCCCACATTTCAAAACACAAGTATGCCTTCCCCAAAGCCCCTCAAAGTCTTAACTCATTCCAGCATTAACTTAAAAGTCCAAGTCCAAAGTGTCATGTGAGACAAGGCAAATCCTTCCACCTATGAGCCTATAAAACCACAAGTAAGTTACTTCCAAGACACAATAGGGGTACGAGCATTGGGTGAATGCTCCCATTCCAAAAGGCAGAAACTGGCCAAAACCAAGGGGCTACAGGCCCCATGCAAGTCTGAAACCCAGCAGGGCAGTCACTACATCTTAAAGCTACTCTTCTTTGACTCCGTGTCTCAAATTCAAGCTGCACTGATGCAAGGGGTGAGCTCCCAAGACCTTTGATAGCTTGGCCTCTGTGGCTCTGCAGGGTACAGCTCCAGCTGCTCCTTTCATGAGCTGGCATTGAGTGTCTGTGGCTTTTCTAGGTGCATGATGCAAGCTGTAGGTTCACATACCATTCCGGAGTCTGGAGGATGGTGGCTCTCTTGTTACAGCTCCACTAGGCAGTGCCCCACTAGGGACTCTACGGGGGGTCTCCAACCCAACATTTCCTCTCCATACTGTCCTAATAGAGGTTCTCCATGAGAGCTATATCCCTGCAGCCGACTTCTGCCTTGACATCTAGGCATTTCCCTATATCCTCTGAAATCTAGGCAGAGGCTTGAAAATCTCAAGTTTAGCCTTCTGCGCACCCACAAGCTAAAACACCATGTGGAAGGCACCATCCTTGCACCTTCTGAAGCAACAGCCCAAGCTGTATCTTGGCCCCTTTTAGCCATGGCTGGAACTAGAGCAGCTGGGACACAGCGCACCATGTCCCAAAGCTGCACAGAGCACTAGGGCTCTGGACTTGGCCCACAAAACTATTTTTTCCCTCCTATGCTGCCAGGCCTGTGATGGGAAGGGCTGTCATGAAAGTCTTTGAAATGCCCTGGAGGCATTTTCTCCATTGTCTTGGCTATTAACATTCAGTTCTTCTTTATTTATGCAAATTTCTGCAGCCTTGAAGTTCTCCCCAGAAAATGGGTTTTTCTTTTTTATAAGGTGGAGTTGCAATTGTTCCAAACTTTTATGCTCTGCCTCTCTTTTAAATGTAAATTGTAGTTTCAGGTCATTTCTGTGTTAATGCAATGATCTAGGCATTTAAAAGAAACCAGGCCTCCTCTTGACTGCTTTACTGCTTAGAAATTTCTTCTGCCAGATACCCTAAATCATGTCTCTCAAGTTCAAATTTCAACAGATCTATAGAGAAGGAGAACAATGTCACTAGTCTCTTTGTTAAAGTATAGGAAAAGTGACTTTTACTCTAGATCCCAATAAATTCCTTATCTCCTTCTAAGACCACCTCAGCCTGAACTTAATTGTTCATATCACTATAAGCATTTTTGTCTAAACCATTCCACAAGTCTCTAGGAAGTTCCAAACTTTTCCTTATTTCTCTGTCTGCTTCTGATCCTTCCAAACTGTTTCAACCTCTGCCCATTACCCAGTTCCAAGATCACTTCCACCTTTTCAAGTAGCTTTATAGAAATGCCCCACTCCCAGTATCAATTTTCTGTATTAGTTCATTCTCACACTGCTACAAAAAACTACTGGAGACTGGATAATATATGAAGAAGAGAGGTTTCGTTGACTCACAATTCCACAGGCTGTAAAGGAAGCATGGAAAGAAGGCCTCAGAAAACTTACAATCATGGCGGAAGGCCAAAGGGAAAGCAAACAGGTCTTCACATGGCAGCAGGAGAGAGAGAGAGAAGGGCAAAACGTTACACACCTTTTTAAACAGCCGGATATCATGAGAACTCATTCACTATCACAAGAACAGCAAGGGGGAAATCCACCCCCAAGATCTGATCACCTCCCACCAAGCCTGTCTTCCAACACATGGGGATCACAATTTGACAAGAGATTTTGGTGGAGACACAGAGCCAAACCATATCACCCTCCCTGAAGATTAGGCTCAATTCCACTCTTTGCTGATGCTTGTAATTTCTGAGACTCAGTAATCTTGCTTTCCCTTCTTTTCCCAGATTTTGTCTTTCCAACCTGCAGCTTAGTGAATGGTTTCCTTGCCCCATTCAGTGATGAATCCTTAGCAGATATACTGGCTCTCTTGTACCAACTTGGACTACTTGAGAGGAGAAAGAACCTTTGAAAGTATCTCTTCTGATGAAGCAAACAAGGTAGACCCCGTGGGAGTAATACTATGTGTGTCTGTGAGGATGGGTAACTATTTTATGCCCCCTTTCTGTGTAAACACAGTACACTTCCATTTCACTCAGCGGTGACACAGATTCTCAACAAAACACCTTTTTACCTGAGTTCCAGTGGAAGTGCGGCACCAGCAACTTTCTATATTTTTAACTACAACGTAATTGAATATTTTCTTTTTCAGATTATTTTCAACTACTTTAAATCTTTTTCCAGGTATGGTAAGAGAATTTCTTATTTTCACATTCTGACTTGTGAGACCTTCACTTATATTATGTCTTATTTCTTCCTGGTGGACTATTTGTTTATATCACATTCTGCGACTCTTTTGAATCAACTGTCAAAGCAAAAGTTGAACAGGACAAAGTTAAACAGTGAAAGAACACTCGCAGAAGGCTCCTATAATAGGGCTGAGAGGCCAGAACTCAGTCTGAGCTCAACTTTCATGAAACAAGAAGCTGGAGTATTTTTAAGAGATGGGGTTTGAAGGATCATAGACCATGTGTATTGACTTTATGCAAGAAAGAAGAAAACTTTTTCTTATCTTCATGACAGGAGGTGGCTTTATAACTCAGAACAAGGTGCCCACAAAGGTAGACTTCCACCCTCTCATAGAAACAGAGAGATGTGGGTACTTTTTGATGATGACATTTCAAAGCAATGGCTCTCAGATTCTTGTGAAAGAGATCCCTGTGTTTTAAGACTGTCAAAAAACCTTTTTTCCCCCCAATATTTACATCTCAAATAAGATGAGAAAGAATTTACAACATGTGAAAGCAAAATAGAATCCCAGTGTCCCAAACTCACTGTGCCAAAGAAACAATTAAGCTTGGGAACTGAGTCACCAATACTGTTTTTCTTTTATTCCCAAACAAGTAGCTGTAATTTCAGAACTCGTTGTTATAGCCTTATTTCCTCTCCTCTATCTTTTCACATTTACTTTATTTTATATAAAATGTAGATTCAAGAGTAAGAGACTATGTACCAATATTTTCCTCTATTCCCCCTTTACACATGTAAATTGTAGATTTACCGAAGCTAATAAGACTCACGAAAGCTAAAGTTGTAGGAGCAGATAGGTGGTAATTCGTTTACTTTTCATCATAAAGGGTCTAAAACAGCACCCCTATAACAGAAGACAGGTTAACAAGAGAAAAACATAACACAATTATTGCATGCACATATGTGCACGCCAATATGGAAGTCATACAAAACATTAAAACTTAAGAACAGGGCCAGATGGTTGATGCTTGAATGCCCTTTTAATTGGGGAGAAGGTAGTGGGGGAGCAGGAGCAAAAGATTTTTAGGGAAAATAAATGGATCTGGAGACCAAGATTAAGTTGTAAATATTTCTCTTTAGAATGTGAATGAGGCTTTGAGGCAGACGTTATCTTGTGAAATGTCCAGGTATGGTTGCATTCCTCAATTTTCTTTTCTAAGATAGATAATAAGATATCAGGAAGGGGATGGAAGGCAATTTTGTTCCTTTTTGGGCATCTGGTTTCTAGGTAGATAGTGAACTTCATACAACAGCCTCATCTTGTCCTTTGGGAGAGATAGAAGACTGAGAAACAGAGCAGGTAAGAAGAAGATCACACAGGCCTTGCAGCTGCTTCTACAGTTACGAAGTCAATGCACTGTATTTTGGGGTATTGGTTTCTGGCCCCCAGCCCTATCTTGGTTACCATAAGTCTTAGATTTTGATACATAAGGAAAAAATGGAAATTGAGAACATTTGTCTCTCTCTGAAAAAAACTTTTCCTTCCATATCTTATACTGAACCAACAGCAACAACAGCAGAAAGATATTTTTTTCTTTCTGTTGTTGTCCTACGTTAACAATGCAATTTCAAAGTCAGTGAACAGATGGCGAGACAGGAATCATACAAAAAAAGACAGAAAGAAAAAAGATGGGGCACTTTGGCGGCCCATGCCCATAATCCCGGCACTTTGAGAATTGCTTGATGTCAGGAGTTTGGGACCCACCTGGGCAACTTAGTAAGACTCCATCTTTACAAAATAAAACAAAAACGAAAACAAAAACTCAGATATAGTGGCAAGTGCCCATAGTCCCACTACTCCAGCTACTTGGGAGGCTAATGTGGGAGAATGGCTCGAAACCAGGACTTCAAGGCTGCAGTAAGCTATGATCACCACTACAATTCAACCTGGACAACAAACCAAAACCCTGTCATGCACACACACACACACACACACACACACAGAGGCAGGAAAAAAAGAATAAAAGAGGGAAGGATAGGAAATAGTGTGGTTTAAAAGAGGTATCTACTTACAGAAGTCGTAAAGTATTATCCACAGAACTTACTGACTGATTGCAATTGCCTGTTTAATAATTTCCCTTCTAATGTTGATGTTGAAATCTATAAGGGCCAGACCTATTTTGTCCATCATTTTTCAACTAACCTAGGGTCTGAAATATAGCAGCTGCTTCATAAATGTTAATGAATGAGTGAAACTAATAGAAAACTCCTGATAGGAAGTAAAATATTAGATACTTGTTTTAGACATATATGGAAATTTAAAAGCTTTCTTCCCTCTCTACCTAGTTTTTTTTTCAACTACAATTTAAATATAAGGCTTATTTGGATAAATATTTTTTTTCTCTGAAATACCAGAACTCTGCCAGCTTTCCATTTATTTTTAAATTTTAATTTGTTCTTAGTCCCCATTTCATGACAGATTGTTTGACAATATCTCTGACAAAGTAGAGTAATCAATAATCTCACAGCGCCAAACACGGCTAGTTTGTGAGGACAGTCTGTCTCTCTTATTTCTGATTTTTAAACAATTTTTTAGCACATCTGCTGAATTACAACACGAAGAAAACCTAACGTCGTCTTCCTTGAATGGCTGAATCTGAGATAGCAACTTGAAAAAAAGAGCTACACGTTTAAAGCATGAACTATTCTAATTAGGTGTGTAGTAGGGATTGTATTACATCCACAAGGAAATATCCACACAAATACTGATCAATGATAAGCACTCTTTTAAAATTAAGATTGACAGATTTAACAAATAGAAATCCAGGACACCGAGTTAAAGTTATTTTTCAGATGAACAATAAATAATATGTTAGTATATGTCATGAAGCCTTTATGATTCTTTTATTTTGGAATATTATCTTGCTTTTATCTGAAATTCAAATTCAACTGAGTGTCTTGTATTTTCTCTGGCAATGTTACTTAGGATGGATCTTCAGGAAACCAGTCTTTTGTGATGCGATTCAGGAGATTCAGCACGAGAGTAAAACTTTGACACTCAAACTTGCAGCCCACTTTGATCCAGTAATACGGAAAAGAATCAGTTTGAAAATTCAGAGAAAAAAGATAAGTACTTTTTTTTTGAATATCTTTTTTCTACATTAAGTATTTTTAATTGCATTACATTAATCATTTTTCTGATAGTAAATGTTTCTAGGAGTGCTGATTATCCATCATTCTTCAGTTTGTACTGAATTCAATTTAAGAAGTTGTGGAGGCTGTTGGATTATTCAATATAGTCTGAAAAATGCTGCTGTTTTATTCTGATTCATGCAATATACAATTGATCATCCCTCTATAAGAAATGAATTTTCCATAATGCTTTTTTATTCTCTTTTCAGTGTGCTCAACATATTCTTGAGAAATCTAATATTTCATGGCAAAATAATTATTTACATCACAGAAATATGCATTTTTCATTAGCTGTAGAAGAACAAAACATATGACAACTATTAAAAATAATATACTTTTGGCTGGGTGCAGTGGCTCACACCTGTAATCCCAGCACTTTGGGAAGCCAAGGTGGTTGGATTGCCTGAGCCCAGGAGTTAGAGAACAGCCTGGGCAACATGGCGAAAACCCATCTCTATTACAAATACAAAAAAAAAAAAAAAAAATTAGCCAGGCGTGGTGGCACACACCTGTAATCCCAGCTACATGGGAGGCTGAGGCACAAGAATCACTTGAACCTGGGAGGCGGAGGTTGCAGTGAGCCAAGACCATACCACTGCACTCCAGTCTGTGTGAGAGAGCGAGAGTCTGCCTCAAATAACAATAATGATGATAATAATAATAATAATATACTTTTGATAATTTTCTATAGACTTTGTTTTTAACTTATTTAATTGAATTGTTTCAAGTTAATAGCCATATTAGCGATATCATGTCATTTAATGTGAAAGACAATGATTATATTTATTCAAATGAGATATGTGTGTGCATGTGTATGTGTACATGTCTCTGATGAACCTAACACAACAATCTAAGTGGTAAAATGGTTTAATGCTACCCAACTATATAGAAAATAAATTTCTATTTACTTGTATTCAATACATATTTGTACTCACAAAAAGTAATACATGTTTTGGTGCTGAATATATAAATTAAATTTTTTTAATTGGGTTTTTTGAGTATTCTTGGATTAGGCTTAATATTGGCTATAAAACAGTAAATTCACTAATGCCTTAAAATGAATGCAGCTAATTTTATTTCCCTGTGCTCTCGAGAACAAATAACCTTTAGATATTTCTTCAAATTCAGGAAAACATAAGTTATGATGCTGTCCAGGGTCAGAATGCAGCGTTCTCCCCTGATTGATTCTGATAGTGCTAGATAATGAAAGTTTATGTGCACATACACAATGAAGTGATGTATTTCCAATTATTGCCAAGTCCAAAAGTGTACAGAGCACTGGACAAGTCCTCTGGGCCTAATGTCTAATTATATGTACCGTATTTATTGATATATCATTTTCTCAGTGGTAACAGGACATTTCATTTCCAATAGATAGATAGAGAGAGAGAGAGAGAGAGAGAGATGACAGATTATTTTTTGAGACAGAGCCTCGCTGTCACCCAGTCTGGAGTGCAATGGCATGATCTTGGCTTACTGCAACCTCTGCCTCCCAGGTTCAAGCTATTCTCTTGCCTCAGCTTCCCGAGTAGTTAGGATTATAGGCGCCTGCCACCACACCTGGCTAAAATTTTTATTTTATTTTATTTTTATTTTTAGTAGCTATGGGGTTTCACCGTGTTGGCCAGTCTGGTCTCAAACTCCTAACCTCAGATGATCCACCCACCTTGGCCTCCCAAAGTGCTGGGATTACAGGCCTGAGCCACTGCACCCGGCCCACAAAATATATTTTTGATGTCAAGTACGGCACCCTTAAATTCTTTGTTCTGAAAACAACTCTCTAGTGAAAATCCTATTTAAAAATACATACATCTTTTAAACATACTGTTCAATATGCATAATATTTTGCTGACAACTATGAATCTCTACAATTTTTAGAATTTTAAATAATTTATAGAGCTAGAGTTCTTGAGGCTTGCTAAAGAATAAGAAGGGCTCAAGAATGACACTAGGAATTATTATTTAATCAAATATATCATATCAATGGCAATTGAATGTGAGAAGAATGGGGGAATGCATCTTTAAAAACAGAACCAGGTATTCTCTTTTAGCAATATTACTTTTGAGATCTCTATTAAACATCTGGTAAGAGATATTCTTGCATTTTTGCTGGTCTGAGCCAAAAGATTAATTTAGTTTCACCCTCTGATGTGAAGTACTTGTTCAAAACTTTAATCTGCTCCTTGGCAAAATATGTTTTCTAGAACTGTTTGTTGCTCTCACAGAATAATTTGGGTCTTACTAGTTCAATTATTTGTAAGGAATTCCTAGGGAAGACATAATTCCAGAGTGGTTTGGTTTGGGTCTATTTATCTTTTAATAAAAAATCACAATGCAAAGATTTTCTTCTTTTCAATTGCCTCAAAGACAAGAATATTTTCAGGTAGCTTTTATGTGTGAATCTCAACATGGGCTTGTCTTCTGTTTGTACACTTAATCAATGGGGTAGAATCAGGAATGTTACTCTTGTTCTTCCTTTCTGACATTGGGCTCGCAACACTGAAATTTCTCCAAGGCTGCTCTCCTTCACTTTTGCATGACTATTATAAAATGCAAATAGCTTTTGACAACCTGAATAAATATTTTATAGTGTTTTTTCTTATTTCTCACAGTGGAGTTTCTACTTCATTCTCCATAGTCTTGTAAACTTCAGAGATTTCCAAGAGAAAACAGAAAATGCTGTGGTACCAAGTTTGTAGTGAAAGCATCCACCATCATTCTAAATGTGTAATATTACGAACAGAATAATAAAGACCACATAAATGTTTTAACAATAACTTTGGTCTAAGTACAACTTGATGTTTAAAGATAAACTGGAATTATATTAAAATTAAAATTATAAGCTATATGATATGGGTTTTGAAAACTACATTATACATTAATGCAGACAGTAAAGTGTAAAAACAAGTTAGAAATCTGTTATCTTTTAGATTTAGCCAACACTTAACCCTCTCCCTAACTTGCAAGAATGACCTATTGGTGGTAACAAATGTATGGTGAGAAGGTTTCACGACACAGAAACCAGATCCTTTATTTTTCTGTAGACCCACAGCTAAGGTACATGTGCAGTCAATCTGATGATCCTGCTCAGGATTTTGAATGTTGAGGGCATGTTGCAAAATATAGTTTGAAATGTTTTGTAGTAGCAGTTATACCCTTTGACCTTAGTGCTATAGTGCTGGTGTATTTCCTTCAGCCCATCTCTCTTGGTGACATAACCCTCTGCACAATTTGACTGATTGCTTCTCTTTCCATGTCGTGGGTTTCTCTACATGGCAACCCTGATCTCCATGTACATGAAGAGTTAATGGCACAGAAAACACAATATTTTCAATTAAGAAATTGAAGTCAGCTTTGTAATTGAAAATATTGTGTTTATTGTGTCAGTGCAATGTAAACATGCATGTATACACAAAGTAAAAATATTAGCAGTAAGATATTACATCACCAACATGGTTTGTATTACGGCTTGTACTTTTTACAGTTGTTTGACATTCGGCAAGTAACACTGAAATGTTAAAATGATCTTAATACTATGTAGCATCTGTTTTAAATTAAATAAAATAATAGGTTTAAATGTAGAATAACATCACATATTATTAAACATATAGAAGAATTACATCTTTGTGAGATAATTAACATAATCTATCAAAACTTTAAGGGTAGGCGGAGTGTGCACAGTGGCTCATGCCTGTAATCCCAGCACTTCAGGAGGCCAACATGGGTGGATCACTTGAGGTCAGGAGTTCAAGACCAGCCTGACCAACATGGTGAAACCTGGACTCTACTAAATACAAAAATTAGCTGGGCATGGCAGTGCACGCCTGTGGTCCCAGATACTTGGGAGGTAGAGGCACAAAAATATCTTGAACCCTGGAATAGGAGGTTGCAGTGAGCTGAGATTGCACCACTGTCCTCCAGCCTGAGCCACAGAGTGAGACGCTGTCCCCCCCCCCCACCAAAAAAAATAAGAACTTTAAGGGTATATTCCCTACATATCTATGATCCAGTAACTTTGCTTCATGGAATCTTCAAGAGAAACAACAAAAGCTAAGCACATAACGACAGTGATAATAATAATAATCATGATACATTTGAAGCAAACTAAATAAGGCAGTGACTAAATAATCTGTCATACTATGGAATATAATGCAATTGCAAAAAATTGACCAAAATTATTAATTTTCTATATGTATGTATGTGTGTGTGTAGCAATGTGAATGTGTTTCCAAAGCAAGTTGTACAGTGTTGACAAAGTTCTAATAATAATACGTGTAGTATCAATGTTTACAAAACGAAATTAAATCTAAGTAATGTTCTGTGTTTTTATGGATACATTTATGTTTGCAGACACATAAAAATTGCCTGGAAGATATGCTTTAAAATAATAATTGTTTCCTCTAGTGAGAGTGTGAGGTCACTGTCAATGTTGAAGTTTGGGTTATCTTGAAGAAAAACGTTATTAAAAAGAATAATATATTTACTGCCTGCACAATTAAAATTGAATTTAATGAAGAGGGAAAACTATTCTGAGATCATATTTTATTGAATTTGAGCAAAAGGTAATGTTACTATTTTGAATGCAAGCCAACACATACACACTTTATCTATTTAAATATAGCTGATCTAAAACAAAGTTTTCTGGTGTCAACAGTCTCTATATCTGTAGTGGGTACTCTCGATTTAATAGAAAACTAATTACTGCACAACTTAAAAAAGTGCAATCAAAAGGAAAACAATTAGTTGAATTGAAGTTTATAGAGAATAATGATAATTTAATGAAAAATATTTTATAGCAATTGTAGTCAGCCTTGATTAACAGAATTTCTATTTATATAATTTCACTAAATTTAAACATTATAAAACAAAAAAAAATCCTACTATCCTATGGGTTTTATGAAAGTCAGTTTTCAGTTATGGACCAATATTTTGTTTTCTGTTTGTGGAAGAAAAATTTCACATAATTATTTCGGTTTACTTTGTTTTCTGTATTAGAAAAACTTCCTTGAAGAAGACTATTCTTGACTTCAAGTGAAATTATTCACAGTAACTATCACCCTGTGATACTCCCAAGAAAGAGTGCCAATGGTGTATATTTCAGCCTGCTTGATAGATATTGGGCACACCTTGCATGCATAATGTTGGCATTTAACCATTGCTCCAGATATTGTGTTCAGTGGGTTCTAGATAATTGTTAATTTTTGTTGTTTTCCCAAGACTTAAAAAAATTGTATTATTTAAATACTTTCATTCTACATAGTTATTTAAATATCGTTATTAAAAGTTCCTAAAATGCAGTCTCGGAGAACTACAGTTGAGTACCTCGAGAGTAGTCATAGACTTGGTGTACAAGGAATTGCTTCTTACTTGACTGCTCTATAGAGCTGTAGTTCTCAAAGTGTTGTCCATAGATGCTTGTGAAACTCTAACACTCATTCAGGTAGTTTGTGTGTTAAAATTACTTTCAAAATAATGCTAAGACTTATTTCTGGTCTTTTTTATTGTATTGATATTTGGACTGATGGTATAAAAGCAATTGTAGGTGAAACTACTAGTGCCTTACAGTCCTACTAGTGCTCACAGTCCTGACACTGTCTTTGCATTTGCAGGAAAAATTTAAAAGGGAGAGGAGGACGGGTAGGAGGAGAAAGAAAAAGCCACCGGTTTCAATTAGGCATTTCTTCTAGCAGAAAAAACAACAACAACAACAACAAACCAGCAAAACCTCAACCTTTGGATAGATACATTTTTAATACATTGAGTGATGAAATAAAGTGTATTCATAAAGCATTTTGCTGCATACCAAAGTACAATTGTCTCTCAAAGAGAAAATGCTTCTGTGATTTTTTTGGACTACAAACTAAAATAGCCACTTAAAAAAAAAAGGAACACTATTTTTATTTGAAAGAATGACAGATAAACTATGTTTAATTGAATTTCTGCATGCGGTGATAGTTTCTTGAAAATAGATGAAGTGAACCTGTCACCTGTAGGAAAACAAGTGTTCGTAGTCAATGATAAAATCTGAGCTTTCAAGTTAAAAAATTAGAATTTTACAAAACTCATATTTGCCACCATGTGCTTGACACCTTTCAAACTTGAAGGATTTGCTGATCAAATCAGTGGAGAGAATAATTTTGAGTTTAAAAAATATTATTTAATAAAATATATCAACATTTGGAAGACTTGCATAGCTCAGTGAATAAATACTTTCCAAATAACCAAGAACCCGATGATACAAAATTATGCACAGATTAAAGATCCATTAAAAATGCAAGACAGAATAACATTTTTTAAATTATTGTCTGAAAAGTTTGTTTACATGTTTTCAGATTCCACAATGCGATTAATCTTTAATAAACTAATGCTTGTTGAATGCCATAGTGTCAAAATTGCGTATCTATATTTATTTGATGAGACTTGAGCACCATGTATTAAGTTAGACCATAAAAAGATGAGGCAAATTAAAGATTTAATCCAGGCAGTCATTTTCTAACCACTACTTATAAATATCAGGTTCAGTGTCAGTTATTTCACTGTCAGTGCAACCTGAGAATTCAAGTTCTTATTTCCTCAGGCTGGGAATGTTCAGCCTGAAGCGCATGAGTTTTGTGGGGCTACTTCTATGGCTCACACGGTATCTTCCTTTGTTTCCATCCTTTAGAGACTAATTTTATTATAGAAACATATACCAGTGAAGACTTCACATTTTAATGCTGCATACATGCTGATCAGTACTCTGATAAAAAATAAAGCATGATGAAAAAATAGTGATTGATAAAGGATGCTCTTTTTGTTTTTTGTTTTTTGTTTTTTTTTAAGACGGAGTTTCGCTTTTGTTGCCCAGGCTGGAGTGCAGTGGCCCAATCTCGGCTCACAGCAACCTCCACCTCCCGGGTTCAAGCGATTCTCCTGCCTCAGCCTCCCAAGTAGCTGGATTACAGGCATGCACCACCACGTCCGGCTAATTTTGTATTTTTAGTAGACTAGGTGGACAAATAGCTTCTCTGAAGAGGTGACCAGCAAGTAAACAAGCTCTGAAAATATCTGGGTAAGAACTTACCTGGAATTGGGAGGTAAGTACCTGTTTGTCATGTTCAATGGAGAGAAATAAGTCTCAGTTGTGCAGCCAAAGTTAATTAAGCAGGGAATGATAACAGATAGGTGGGAGAAGTTGTCAAGTAAGAGGTCATAAAAGTCCCTATGGGCATAAATGAAAATGTATATAGAAGGGTGATATATTTTGAATATCTGTTTCTTCTAAATCTCATGTTGAACTGTACCCCCTCCCCTCCATTTTGGAGGTGGGGCCTAGTGGGAAGCTTTTGGGTCCTGGGTGCAGACCCTTCATAAATGGCTTGGTGCTGTATTTGTGGTAGTGAGTGAGTTCTCTATTAGCTCACATGAGAGCTGGTTGTTTAGAAGACATGTAACACACCTGATCCCGCTTTGCCTGCTTCCATAACTGTAGGTTTCCTGAGGCCCTCACCAAATGCAGATGCTGGCACTGTGCTTCTTTTCCATCTGCAGAATCATGAGTCAAAATAAACCGCTTTTCTTTACAAATTATCCAGCCTCAGATATTCCTTTGTAGTAACACAAGTTTAATTATCCTTTGTGTTAACAAAGGGTAATTAAAAGTTAAGATGGAAGTCAAATTTCTTTGGCTCAATTCTAGCTCTATCCTGTATTACCAGTGTCAGGCTGTTTAACCTACAGCACTTCCATTTTTTTCTTGTAGGCTCCTGAGAGTAACCATCATATTTGGAGAAAGAGTATTTGTAAGTATTTATACCTACTTAAAACTCTGCATGACACATGGTAAACATTATAGACACCTTAGCTGTCATTGGTAGTAGTATCAAATGTAATGAGGATTATTAGCTATTATTACTATTAATGATCGTGATTCAAGAACTTTCAGAGAGTGTTAAATGGGAAAATGTCATAACCTGATTCAAAATTTTAAAAAATCACTCTGGCCTCCATGGAGAGAAATGGCACAGCAAAGGTAAGAGAGGAAATTTGGAGAACACCCAACAGGCTAATGGAATAATCCATGTGGACAGTGATGGCAGTCCAACAGATAGCAGCAGTAAAAGGGGCATTGGTTAGATTCAGGAAATACATTTGAAGATAGTCTATAATTGGAAAAAAAGTACCATTTTATTTCTACTTGTATATGCTTATTTGTTTGTTTGTTTCTGGCTTTTTTCTCTTTTCTTTAGCTTGCTACATTCCATATCTAGTTGACTGGCCTATTATTTTACTTGAATAGTTGGCTTCAAATGCAATATTTATTTTTCAAAATGTGTTAAATCTAAAAATAAAATATCGCATTAGTTATACTCAATTTTTATAATTTCTAAACCTTTGTCTCAAAATATTTAGTACCCAAGGAATTAAGAGTTCTCTAAATCTTATGTGCCTCTTGTTATTATCATTTGTATGCTTCTGTCCCCTGAAATAAATTAAACTCCTGGTCCATATATGCTCTCTGAACTTTATATTAAAAGTCTCGCATTTCCTGCACACAACTACTCATTCTCTCTGGGGCAACAAGTCTGGCTCATCCTCTTAATCTGAGCTTTCAAACCTTTATGTTCATAGAAGACACCTGGGGATCTTGTCCAATTGTGTATCCTGATTCAGTAGTCCTGGATAGTTGCCTGAGAGTTTGCATTTCAAACAAGCTGCCAGGTCCTGTTAATGCTACTTGTCTGTGGAACACACTTTGTGTAGTGATGCTCTGAATCTCCCCTAAATTTTTAATGACCTTCTATAATATCAGAGGCTTCCATGCTGGTTTCATTTACATCGGTTTTCATCTATGTGCTGAAAGTTAGCCAATTAATACACAAATCTTTTGTATACACACAGAAGCCAACAGCAGCAAAGTTCTGTTCCAGTGTATGCTTCCACTGAATTTGTGTTTCTTAAGGGCAATTTTAATGTCAATATACATTGTTGATAAATAATTCTTGGCATATAAATTTCAGTATTCATATGAAAGGGACAGGTTTTCTAAACAGAGTATACAAATCTTTCCTTTTTCTTTTCCTAATGTGGTGGGTAATGCTGAAGATTAATAATGAAGGGCGGGCCGAGGGACTGTTATCCTCAGAAGAGAGGGTCTTACAGTGCAAGGACCATGAAGTTAAAGTGGCACAATTGATGAGGTCAAAGCCCTGATTTATGCTCACTTGGTCATCCCGCTTAATTTGAAGTTGTGTTTTATAAACTTAAAGTCATGTTTGTTTATCATACATTCAGTATACACATTGCTTTGTTCATTCCTGGACACTGAAATATTTAATAGCAGAAGAAAATTGTCAAGGGCCATGTGCTTTGAGATTGGTAAGAGGTTTTTACAGTTTGAAATTGTTTTCAAAAGCTGCCATCAGTGCCTTCGAGGAATGCTTGTCGCAAAACAATGGTTTAATTTGCTCCCAATGAAAAAGATGAAGAGGAAGGCAAGTGGAGAAAGGACATGAAACTAAATGAAGTAAGGAAAACACTGAATATCTCAACTGATTTTTATTATTGATGTCCCCCTTTCATTGTTACAGAAACATTATTTCCATAGACGGTTTGATCTTTGTAACATCTTAGTGGGTCTCCTGAGAGTCAGACAGAAATATACCAATATAATAAGAAATCATTATGAAGCTAGGCGAGGTGGCTCACGTCTGTAATCCCAGCACTTTGGGAGGCCGACATGGGTGGATAACCTGAGGTCAGGACCAAAATGGTGAAAGACCGTCTCTACTAAAAATACAAAAATTAGCCAGGCGTGGTGGCTTGCACCTGTAGTCCCTACTAATCAGGAGGCTGATAAAGGATAATTGCTTGAACCTGGGAGGTGAGGTGGAGGTTGCAGTGAGCCGAGATCGCCCCACTGCACTCCAGCCTGTGTAACAGAGCGAGACTGCATCTCAAATGAAAAAAAAAAAAAGAAATCATTTTGAGTCCTTTGAAAATACTTCAAGCAATAAGCATCACATTTAAAGAACATAATATAGGCTGCATTAACAACCTTCAGATCTGTTTTCCTCTGATTTGGAAATATATATATATATATTATATATATATATATATATATATATACATATATATATATTATATATATATATATTTTTTTTTTTTTTGAGATGGGGTCTCGCACTGTCGCCCAGGCTGGAGTGCAGTGGCGCAATCTCAGCTCACTGCAAGCTCCACCCCCCAGGTTCACACCGTTCTCCTGCCTCAGCCTCCTGAGTAGCTGGGACTACAGGCGCCTGCCACTACGCCCGGCTAATTTGAAATATTTTTTAAATGTTATTAACTCTTTTGACAAAATATACATGCATACTCATACACACATATGCACACCAGAAAGCATCATGTCCACAATTATATGGAATCAAATTAATAAGGAATCCTAGTTTTTAAAAAATAGTGAGTTTTTAATTGATTCACACCAGCAAAATTTATTAATAGGGTAATCATTTTAGAGTTTCAGTACATGTATATTTGTGTCTTTATATCTCCACAAAAAGCTGCGCCTTTCCAAGCATCCTTTCTCCCATTACTTTTTTAATTAATTTTTTCTAATTTTTCATTTTTGGGATACATAGTAGGTGTATACATTTGTGGATTGCATGAGGTGTTTTGATACAGGCATGCCTTGTGTAATAATCATATCATGGTAAATTGGTATCTATCACCTCAATATTTATCCTTTGTGTTACAATACAATTATACTATTTTAGTTGTTTTAAAATGTACAATTTTCATTTGTGACTATAATCACTCTGTTGTGCTAGCAAATACTAGGTCTTATTCATTCTTTCTAGTTATTTTTTATACCTATTAGCCATCTCCACTACCCCCCACAACCCACTACTACCCTTCCCTGCCTCTGGCAACCATCTTTCTACTCTCTGTCTCCATGAGTTCAATTGTTTTAATTTTTATCTCCCACAAATAAGTGAGAACATATGAAGTTTGCCTTTCTGTGCCTGGCTTATTTTACTTAACATAATGACCTTCTGTTCCATTAATGTTGTTGCAAATGACAAGATCTCATTCTTTTTTATGGCTGAATGGTACTCCATTGCATATATGTACCACTTTTCTTTATCCATTCATCTGTTGATGGACACTTAGATTGCTTCCAAAGCTTGGCTATTGTGAATAGTGTTGCAATAAACATGGAGTGCAGATATCTCTTCCATATACTGTTTTCTTTTTTTTTTTTTTTTTTTTGGTATATACCTAAAAGCAGGATTGCTAGATTGTATCGTAGCTCTATTTTCAGTGTTTTGAAGGACCTTCAAACTGTTCTCCATAGCGGTTGTACTAATTTACATTTCCACCGACAGTGTATGAGGATTCCCTTTTCTCCACATCCTCGCCAGCATTTGTTATTGTCTGTCTTTGGGTAAAAGCAATTTTAACTGGGGTGAAATTATAACTCATTGTAATTTTGATTTGTAATTCCTCTGATAATTAATGATGTCGAGCACCTTTTTATATAACTATTTGCCATTTGCATGTATTCTTTTGAGACATGTCTATTCAGATATTTTTGCCCGTTTTTAATCAGATTATTAGAGTTTTTCCCATAGAGTTGTTTAAGCACCTTATATACTCTGGGTACTAATCCCTTGCCAGACAGATAGTTTGCAAATATTTTTGTCCATTCTGTGGATTGTCTCTTCACTTTTTCGATTGTTTCTTTTGTTGTACAGATGGTTTGTAACTTGAAGTGATCCTATTTGTCCAATTTCGCTTTTGTTGCCTATGCTTGTGGGATATTACTCAAGAAATCTTTGCCCACTTCCATGTCCAGGAGAGTTTCCCCATGTATTATTTCAGTAATTTCATACTTTGAGGTCTTAGATTTAAGCCTTTGATCCATTTTTATTTGTTTTTGTATATGGAGAGAGATAGAGTTCTAGTAGTTTCATTCTTCTGTATATGGATATCTAGTTTTTCCAGCACCATTTATTAAAGGGACTGCCCTTTCCCCAAAGTACATTCTTGGCAACTTTGTCAAAAATGAGTTCGTTGTAGATGTATGGATTTATTTTGGGGTTCTCTGTTCTGTTCCGCTGGTCTATATGTCTGTTTGTATGTCAGTATCATGTTGTTTTGTTCATTACAGCTCTGTAGTATAATTTGAATCAGTTAATTTGATTCCTCCAATTTTGTTCTTTTTGCTTAGGATAGCTTTGGCTATTCTGGTTCTTTTGTGGTTCCATATAAATTTTGGGATTGTTTTTTCTATTTCTGTGAAGAATGTCATTGGCATTTTGATGGGGATCACATTGGATCCATAGATTGCTTTGAGTATTGTGGGCATTTTAATAATATTGATTCTTCTAATCCATGATAATAAAATATTTTTTCATTATTTTGTGTCTTCAATGTCTTTCATCAATGTTTTATAGTTTCCATTGTAGAGAACTTTCACTTTTTTGAATAAGTTGATTCCTGGGTATTTTACTTTATCTGTAGCTATTATCAATGGGAATACTTTCTTGATTTCTTTTTCAGATTATTCATTGTTGGTATACAAAAATGCTACGGATTTTTGTATGTTGATATTGTATCCTGCGACTTCACCAAATTTGTTTATCAGTTATAATAGGCTTTTTTTGGTGGAATCTTTTGGTTTGGTTTTTTTTTGGAATATATAATCATATCATCTGCAAATAAGGATAATTTAACTTTTTTCTTTCCAATTTGGATGCACTTTCTTTTTCTTGTCTGAATGCTCTAGCTAAGACTTCCAGTACTATGTTGAATAATGGTGGTGAGAATGGGCATCCTTGTTGTGTTCCAGATCTTAGAGGAAAGGCTTTCAATTTTCCCCCTTTCATTATGATACTAGCTATGGTCCTGTAATATAAGGCTTTTATTATGTTGAAATGTTTCTTCTATACCCAGTTTTCTGATGGTTTTCACCAGAAAGAGATGTTGAATTTTATTATGTTTTTTTCAGCATCAATTAAAACAATCATATGGATTTTGCCCTTCATTCTGTTGATATGATGTATCACATTGATTGATTTGCATATGTTGAACCATCCTTGCATTTCTGAGATAAATCCCCCTTGGTCATTGATATGGTTAGGCTTTTTGTCTCCACCCAAATCTCATATTGAATTGTAATTATCATAATCTCTATGTGTCAAGGGAGAGTCCAGGTGGAGGTAATTGAATCATGGGGCTGGGGAGGGGGGTATTCCCCATGCTCTTCTCATGATAGTGAGTTCTCATGATCTCTGATTGTTGTATAAGGGACTCTTCCCCCTTCACACAGCACTTCTTCTTCCTGCCACCTTGTGAAGAAGGTGACTTGCTTCCCCTTTGTCTTCCACCATGATTATGAATTTCCTGAAGCCTCCCCAGCTATACTAGACTGTGAGTCAATTAAACCTCTTTCCCTTATAAGTTATCCAGTCTTGAGCAGTTCTTTATAGCAGTATGAAAATGAACTAATACAGTCATAAGGAATAATCTTTTTCATGTGTTGAATTTGGTTTGCTAGTATTTTTTGGGAATTTTTGCATCAATATTGATCAGTGACATTAGCCTGTAGTTTTGTTTTGTTTTGTTTTGTTTTTTTGATGTGTCTTTGTCTGGTTTTGCTATCAGGGTAATACTGGCCTTGTAGAATAAATTGGGAATTATTCTCTTCTTTAGTTTTTGGAAAAGTGTGAGTAACCCTGGTATTAGTTCTTCTTTAAGGATTTGGTAGAATTCAGCAGTAAAGCATCTGGTCCTAATGTTTTCTTTGCTGGGAGAATTCTTATTGTGGCTTTGATCTCATTACTTGTTATTGGTCTGTTCAGGTTTTGTATTTTTTTTATGATTCAATCTCAGTAGGTTGTATGTGTCTAGGAATTTGTCCATTTCTTCTAGATTTTCTAATTTATTCTCATATAATTGCTCATAGTAGCTACTAAATATCCTTTGAACTTTTGCTATATCAGTGGTAATATCTCCCTTTTCATCTTTAATTTTATTTATGTGGGTCTTTATCTTTTCAAAAACCCAATTTTTCTTTTATTAATCTTTTGTATTGTTTTCTTTGTTTCAATTTTATTTATCTGTGCTCTGATCTTCATTATTTCTTTTCTTCTAAGTCTGGGTGTGGTTTGCTCTTCCTTTTTAGTTCTTTAAGATGTATTGTAAGATTGTTTATTTGAACTTTTTCTTCTTTTTTGATGTAGGCACTTATATCTATAAACTTCCTTCTTAGTACTGCTTTTGCTGTATCATTAGGTTTTGGTATGTTGTGTTTCCATTATCTTTTTTTTTTCCAAGAACGTTTTCAATTTTCTTCTTAATTTGATCTTGATACAATGGTCATTCAGGAGCATATATTGTTTAATTTCCATGTGTTTGTATAGTTTAGAAAATTATTCCTTATTAATTTCTAGTTTTAGTCCATTGTGTCTTGAGAAGATGCTTAATATTATTTCATTGTTTTTTTAAATGTTTTAAGACTTGTTTTGTGACCTAATATATGGTCTATCCTTGAGAATGATTCATATGCTGAGAAAAAGAATGTGTATTCTGCAGCCATTGGATGGAATGTTCTGAAAATATCTATTAGGGTCCATTTTTTCTATAGTGCAGATTAAATCTAATGTTTCTTTGTTGATTTTCTGCCTGGAAAAATCTGTCCAATGCTGCGAATGGGATGTTGAGGTCTCCAGTTATTATTATATTGAGGTCTCTCTTTTAGCTCTAATAATATTTGCTATATATATCCAGGTGCTCCAGTTTTGTGTGCACATGTATTTACAATTGTTGTATCCCATTGCTAATTTGACCCCTTTATCATTATACAATGACTTCTTGTTCCCTTCTTATAGCTTTTGTCTTGAAATCTATTTTGTTTGATATAAGTAAAGCTAGTCCTATTCTTTTTTGGTTCCCATTGGCATGGAATATCTTTTTTCATCCGTTTATTTTCTCTTTATAGGAGAAATATGTTCGTATAGGCAACAGATCAATGGGTCTTATATTTTTTATCCATTCAGCCAGTCTATGTCTTTTTGTTGGATACTTTAGTCCATTTACATTCAGCATCTCATTAATAAGTAAGAACTTACTCCCGTCATTTTATTTGTTTTCTGGTGTGTGTGTGTGTCTGTTGCATGTTTTTTGATTTGAGAATACCAGAGGCTTGCAGATAATATCTTATAATCCATTATTTTCAGCTGATAACAACACTGCTTGCATAAATAAACAACCAGGAAAGAAAAAAATAGTAAAAGCTCTACATTTTAATATCATCCCCCTCCATTTCTTAACTTTTTGTTCTTTCTATTTTGTAGTATTTATGCCTTGAGAAGTTGTTCTGGTTATTATTTTTGATTGATTCGTCTTGTAGTCTTTCTTAAGATAATAGTAGTTTACACACCACAGTTTAATGTTATAATGTACAGTGTTTTTCTGTGTAGCAGTTTACACACCACAGTTTAATGTTATAATGTACAGTGTTTTTCTGTGTACTTACTATTATCAATGAGTTTTGTACCTTCAGATGATGTCTTATTGCTCATTAATGTCCTTTACTTTCTGATTGAAGTACTTTCTTTAGCAATAGGACAGGTCTGGAGTTGATAAAAGTCCTCAGCTTTTGTTTGTCTGGAAAAGTCTTTATTTGTCCTTCCTGATTGACAGATATTTTTGCCAGACATAATAGTCTAGTGTAAATTTTTTTTTCTTTCAACATTTTAAATATATTATGCCACTTTCTCCTGACCTGTAAGGTTTCCACCAAGATGTCTGCTGCCAGATGTACTGGAGTTCCATCGTATGTTATTGGTTTCTTTTCTCTTGCTGCTTTTAAGATCTTTTTTAAATCCTTGACCTTTGGGAGTTTGAATATTAAATGCTGTTAGGTAGTCTTCTTTGAGGTGAATCTCTTTGGCATTCTGTAACCTTCTTGTATTTGGATATTGATATCTTTCTCTAGGTTTGGGAAGCTCTCTGTTATTGTTTCTTCGAATAAACTGTCTACCCCTAACTCTTTCTCTACTTCCTCTTTAAGGCCCTCTGATATTTGCCATTTTAAGACTATTTCCTAGATTTTGTAGGCATAAGTCGTTTTTTAAATTCTTTTTTCGTCTCCTCTGTGTATTTTCAAATACCATGTCATTAGGCTCACAATTTTTTTTTTTGCTTGATCAATTCTGCTATTAAGAGACTAGTATGCATTATTCAATATGTCAATTGCATTTTTCAACTCCAGAATTTCTGTTTGATTTTTAAATATTATTTCCATCTTTTTGTTAAATTTATCAAATAGAATTCTGAATTCCTTCTCTGTGTTATCTTGACTCTCCTTGAGTTTCTTCAATACAGCCATATTGAATTCTCTGTCTAAATGTCACATAGCTCTGTTTCTCCAAGATTCGTCCTTGGTGCCTTATTTAGTTTGTTTGGTTATAACATGTTTTCCTTAATGGTCTTGATGCCTGTTGATGTTTGTTGGTGTTTGGGCACTTATTGTTATCTTCTGTCTGGGCTTGTTTGTACTCATGCTTCTTGGGAATGCTTTCCAGGTATTAAAAAAGACTTGGGTGTTGTAATCTAGACATGTCTACAGTAACAGGGCAGCCCAAATGCAGTAATGCTGTGGTTCTTGAAGACCCTTAGAGGTACCACCTTGATATTCTTAGATAAGATCCGAAAAAAATTGCCAGATTACCAGAAACATAATCTCATTGTCTTTCCTTACTTTCTCCCAAACAAACAGACTCTCTCTCTGTGACGAGCCATCTGGTGCTAGGGATTGGGTGACACAAGTACTCCTGTGATCACCACCCTTAAAACTGCACTGGGTCAGACTTAAAGCCAGCACAACACTGGATCTCCCCCAAGGTCTGCTATAGCCATTACCTGGCTACTGTCTATGTTTTCTCAAGGCTTTAGGGCTCTACTATCATCAGGAAGCAAAGCCAGCCAGCCTTACGTGCTTTTCTTCAGGGCAGTGAGTTCCCTCTGATTTCACACAGGTCCAGAGATGCCTTCTAGGAGCTAGGGACTGGAGCCAACAACCTTAGAAATCTACCTGGTGTTTCATTCCACTGTGACTAAGCTGGCCCTCAAACCATGAAACACAGTCCTTCCTACTCTTCCCTCCCCTTTCCACAGGCAAAAGAGCCTCACCACATGGCCAACACCACCAGAGGCCCACAGGGAGTATTGCCAGGATACCACCGATGTTCACTTAAGGCTCAAAGCCTCTTCAGTCAGCTTTTGGTGAATGCTGCCAGGCCTGGGACTCACCCTTCAGGGCAGTAAGTTCTCTTCTGGCCCAGGGAAGGTCCAGAAATGCCATCTAATAGCCAAGGCCTGGAATAAGGGGATTCAAGAGTCTGCTTGGTATGCTACTCTACTGTGGCCAAGCTGGTATCTAAGGTGCAAGATGAAGTCTACTTTACTTTTCACTCTGCTTTTCTTATGAAGAAGGAGTCTCTTACCACAGCCATCACAACTGGGAATGTGCTGGGTCTCACCTGAAGCCATCTCAGATTCTCACCCAAAGCCCATGTTGTACTATCTCATTATCACTGCTGTTTATTCAGGTCCCAAGGGCTTTTTAGTCAGCACGTGATGGTTTTTGCCAGGACTGGGTCCTTCCCTCCAAGGTAGTGGGTTTCCTTCTGGCCTACTGTGTGTCTAGAATTGTCATCCAGGAACTAGCACCTGGAATTAGGGCTTCACAACTTTGACTGATGCCCTATCCTACTGTGGCTGAACAAGTGTGCAAGATGCAAGAACAAAGTCTTCTTTATTATTTCCTGTCATCTCCTCAAGAGGAAGAAAGGGGTCTCTTTTGGAGCCATGAGCTACCTGGGCCTGGGAGAGAGGTGGTACAAACACTCCCTTAGCTGCCCTGGCTGGTATCTCAGTAGTTGGCATGCCCTCCAAGTCCACTGGCTCTGAGCCTAGTTCAGCTCTAGGACTTGTGGACTAGACTGCCTTTCAGTTTATTTGCAGTCCTTGTGGACTAGACTGCCTTTCCAGTCTATTTATGGCCCCAGAGCACTTCAGTTCACATTTGCAAGACCTGCTGGAACTCAAGTTCTGACCACTAGGATGGGCAATTCCCCTCTGTCTAGGACTGGTCTGAATGCTCTCTCTGTGGTCAGGTATCAGCTGAGTTATGCCCAGTTTCATTTTCCCTTGTGACCGGGCACCACTGAGTTCAATGCAAAGTCTTACAATTGCTGCACTCTCCCTCTTCCAAGTGCACAGATTTCTCTGCAGCATGAGGGCACTGTGGGATGATAGGGGAAGGGGTAGCATTGACAGTTGAAGACTGTCTTTCTTTCCCTCTCCAGTGCCTCTTTGAAAAATATGAAGTCAAAACCAGGTACTGTGAGTGCTCACTTTATTATTGATTCTTACGAAGATGTGTGTGTGGGTGTGTGTGTGTGTGTGTGTGTGTGTGTGTGTAGATAGTTGTTGAACTTGGTGTTCCTGTGGAGGGCAGAATTGTTGGGGTTTTCCATTCCATCATCTTGCTCCACCTCTTCTCCACTGTGTCTTCCATTATTTTCTTTTTGTGGTGCTAAACAATCTCTAGCATGGCTGTTTTGGCAAGTCACAAAAGCTCATGCAGATATTTTATTGTGCTGCTGCTACTCTGGAATGTGTGCAGAATCACCATGGGCATTATCATCATCACCACCATCACCAACATGATTAACAGAAAGAAAAATAAAACCAAGAAAACTGTAATATGAAAGGAGAATCTGAAGACATAAACTTTATACAATAGTTATGGAGTCAAACTGGCATAATTGCAGTGTTTTATTAGTTGATACTAAGCCATTTTACTTTGAGAAACACACATGCTAAATGACATAGAGGAAAAATAACATAAAGTGATTCATGTAGCAAATTTAAATTTTGCATCTGTTTTTCAGTTAAGATTAAGAATATGGAATTCAATTAAATGCAGTTATATATGCTTTTACTTTCATGTATATGCAAGAGTTATGAGCTTGTCTGTTGTTAAACTGTCATAATTGCAAATAGAAATAGAAACTACAAATTCTGAAATATTTCAAGTACTATGAAAGGTTTGGTTTTAAAATGTCTAGCATCATAATTATTGAGGGTTAGGTACATCATTATTTAAAAGATCAAAAATTGTGTATTTTATTTAGAAAACATTTGCTGATATAATTAGGCATTTTGGAATATGGCAGTGCATGAATGCATGCTTGTTGTGTGAGTATGTATGGGGATATGCACATACTACAACATATTGAACATGTATATAGATTTTACCCTAAACTAAAAGTAACTGTATAGTAGTAATTGAATAGAATTTAACTATCATTTCCATCATGACTGTAATATATTTTTTAAAAAAGCATGAAGAGTGGAATAGAGACTTATTTAAAAGAGTTAACTGGCAGATGAGTCACAGTAAAATTTTTTTAAAAAGAAATTGTTTGGTTAGAAAGTTAAAACATGATTAATGTTGAAAAATAACTAATAGAGTGAGAAAGTTTTACTCAGAAAATTGAGTAAATAATTCAAAATAGTTAAGAAATAGACACACAATTATAATTTGGGTCCTTAACACATCCTTGTAGACACACAACTGTATGAACTATTGACCATAAATCAGTAGACTATTGATCTAATCAATATTATCAACTAACAGGATGTATTTGACATGCATAGAATACTTCAGCAAAAAACAGAGGAATACACTTTCTTCATGAGTCCATAGAACATTGAACAAGATAGACCACAACCTGGGTGATGAAACAAAACTCAACATTTCAAAGAATTAAAATCCTGCCGAGATTTATATCTAACTATAACAAACTCGAACTAGAAATCAGTAACAGAGAGATAACAAAAATTATCTAAACACTTGGAAATTAAACAGCACACTTATAAATAGTTCGTGTGTCTAACACATGGGAAGCCTCAAAATAAATTTTTTTAGTGCATAAAACTTAAAAAAATGGGGACAAACATTCATCAAAGTATGTGTGATGTGGCCAAGACAGTTCTGGGAGGAAAATTTATAGCACTAAATTTTACATTAGAAAAGAAAGTTATCAAATAGATAATAGAACTTGCTTTCTCAAGAAATACAAACCAGTAGAGAAAAAATAAACTTAAAGCCAGCAGAAGGAAAATAATAAAGATAGCAGTAATAGTTGAAATTAAAAATATAAAAACAATAGAGAAAAATCAGTGAAACGAAGAGTTAGTACTTTGAAAGTTTCAATAAAAGTGTTGAACTGCTAGTGAGACTGCCAAAAATAGAGAAGCTAATAATCATTAACGTCAGGAATAAACTAGAGGTATTACTATAGATTCTGCTGTCATCAAGTGGATAATAAGGGGATACAGTGATTAACTTTACACTCATTAATTTGATCAATTAGAAAAAAAAATAACCAATTTCTTAAAATGACAAACCACTGAAGCCCAACTCAGGAGGAAATAGGTACTCTGAATAGTCCTGTCACCATTAAGGTACTGAATTTGTATTTAAGAAGCTCCTGAAACAGGATTTCTTCTGGCTTAGATGGTTTCAGTTGAGAATTATTTCAAATGTTTAAGGAAGAATTAACACCAACTTCATACAATCTCTTTCAGAAACTAGAATTGAAGAAAGGATTTCTCAACTAATTTTATGAACCCAGTATTTCCCTGTCCCAAATCAAAATTAGCCCAAATAAGAAAAATCTAGACAAGTATCTTATGAACTCAGACACAAAAGCTATCAAAAAATATCTGCAAACTGAATTTAATAATGTATACACATCATTATAAACTATGATCAAGTTAGATTTATTTTTGTTATGCAAGTCCAGTTCAATATTTGAAAATTAATCAGTGTAATCTACCACATCAACAGACTAAAGGAAATTTCTATGATTATATAAATTGACTAAAAAAAAAAACCCTTTTGTCAAACTCCAACACACAGGTCAACAATCAGAAATAGAGAATTACCTAAATGTAATATGGAGTGCCTACCCAAAACAAAACAGAGCAAAACAGAAACCAAAAACTGCATCTAAAATTATTTGTAATGGCAAAACCCTGAATCCTCCCTATACCTCAAGGTTAGAAACAAGACAAATATGTCCACTCATATGAACTTTATTTAATGAACTACTGGTAGTTCTTTCTACTGTTGTAAGTCAAGAGAAGGAAACAAAGAGCAAGTAGATTGAAAAGACGTTGTCTCTCTTTGTAGATGACATAATTGTTTATGTAGAAAATCTTAAGTAAGTTACAAAAAAAAATCAGCTGTAACTAATAAGTGATTACAACAAGGCCACAAGACCCAAGAACACAGGACAAAATATACAACCAACAAAAATCATCACATGTCTATATACTAACAATAAACATATTGAAATAAAATTTTAAAAAATACATGTATACTTCCTCCAAAAAACATATACTTAATTATAAACTTAATAAAACATATACAGGAAATGTCAGTTGAAAAATGCAAAATAATGATGAAAGAAATTTTCAAAGTGCTAAATAAATGAAGAGCTATATTGGGTGAATAGATTGAAAGACTTGGCAGAGTAAAGACATTAATTCTACCAAGTTGATCTATAGGTTTAGGCAGGTGCTACCAAAATCCCAGCAAGGGGTTTTTTCTGTAGACAAAAGACAAAAATATTTTGAAATTTACACAGAAAGTCACAGTCACTAGAATAGCCACACCAGTCCTGATAATGGAAAATAAAGTAGAAAAAATTACCCCACTCAACGTAAAGTACTATATAGCTATTAGTAATAATATAGTCTAGTCTTGGTGGAGGTATAGATACATAGCTTAATTGAAGAGAACAAAAAGCCCAAATATACTAAATCCACAAACATACCCCTAACTAATTTTTGACAAAGTTCCAAAGGCAATTCATTGCAGAAAAGATAACATTTTCAAATAACGGTTCTCGAGCAATTGAACACTTACAGATAAAAAAAAAAGGCAAGTAAAAAATAAATAAGAACTCAACCTTCAAACCTCTCACATTTTATACAAAATTTAACTCATAATAAGCCACAGATTAAATGTAAAATGTAAAAGTGTGAAACTTGTAGCTAAAAATATAGAACAAATACTTGGAATCTATGATGGACAGAATCCTTATTGTTTACATCAAAAGCATGAACCATAAGGGAAAAATGACAAATTGGACTTCATTGAAATCTAAATATTTCACTCTATAAAGAGTGAAACAAAGCTACATATGGGAAGAAAATGTTTGCTAGCCATGTATTTGACAAATGGATAGTATCTACAATATGTAAAGAATTCTCAAAAGAAAACCCAATTATGACATGAGCAAAAAACAGCAAGATACATTTCATTGAAGAAGATGTCCCAGTGGCAGGTAAGCACATGCAAAGATGTTCAACATCATCAGACACTGGAGAAACCCAAAATGAACCATACATACAGTAATCAAAATGAACCAGGCATACACACCTATCCAAGTGGCAAAACAATACAGAACAAAATCGATAAATACATAAAAAATCAATGCCAGTGTCAAATGTGAGTTAGGATGTAGAGGAACTGGACTCAAACATTTCTCATACAGGGCAAACTAGCCCCAAAGTGGAGTTTAGCCTGTGAGGGTTCTTGGCCTTGCCCAGGAAAGAATTCAAAGGCAAGCCAGATGTAGAAGAAAACAGTTGTATTGAAGAGGCAGTGTTACAGTCTGATGGAGTTACAGCTCCATGACTGCTCCTGCAGAGCATGGCTACCCAGTAGTAGGCAGACCACCGTAGCTCAGGGCAGCTTTGCAGTCATATTTATACCCACTTTTAATTGCATGCAGATTAAGGCGTGGTTTATGCAGAATTTTCTAGGGAAGGGGTAGTAACTTGGGTCATTGGGTCATAGCCATGTAAAGAGTCGGTAAAAGCTGGGTGTTGCCATTGGAATGATAAATTGACATGGCACATTGGTGGGCATGTCTAATTAGAAAACTGCTTCTTACCAGGCCCTGTGTTAACTTGTCCTCAATCTGGTTCCATGTCTGAGCCCCACCTCTGGAGTTGTGTCCTGCTTCTTACATCATTTCTATTGGGATTGTGAACTGGTACACCCACTCTGGAAAAAAAAAAATGTTTAACAGTTCTGCATTAAAACTAAACATACAATCTAGCGAATTGACCCCTGGGGATTATTCCTAGAGAAATAAAACTTATGTTCAAACAAAAGCCTACAGGTGAATGTTCATAACAGCTTTATTTGTAATAGCTCAAAACTGGAAACAACACCTATATCAAAATATGGTGCATCCATGCCACGGATTATTACACAGCCAAAGGGAATGAACTATAGATGTACAGTTTGGATGAATCTCCAGAGAATTACATGGAGTCAAAAAAGGCAATCCCAATAGGCTTCATACTTTGTGATCCCATTTACGAAATGAAGCACAGATTTGTGATTGCCAGGTAGGAGAGACATAGTTGGGTTTGAGATTGACAGGGAGTTGAATATGATTTAAAAGAGCAATATGAAGATAATTGCAGAAATGGAACTGTCCTGTACCTTGATTGAGGTAATGGATACAATAAATTACACATGTGACAAAATTGCACTGAGCTCAATATATACACAAACATAAAACATGTAAAACAGGGAAAAAGTGTATCAATGTTAATGTACTGGTTGTGATATGTCCTATGGGTTTCAGGATGTTATCATGCAGGGAAACTGGGTAAAGCATAGGCGGAATCTCTGTGTTATTTTGTATACAGTAACTACCTGTGGATCTACAAATACATCAGAATAAATATTTACAATGCAAATTTTAAAAAGAAAATAAAGCTATGTGCTATAAATTTCAAAGTGATATGTTAAAAATATAAAATAAAATAGTCAAGAAAACTGGCCAGGCACAGTGGCTCATGCCTGTAATCCCAGCACTTTGGGAGGCTGAGATGGGCAGATTACTTGAGGTGAGGAGTTCGAAACCAGCCCGGCCAACATGGTAAAATCCCGTCTCTACTAAAAATAAAAAAAAATTAGCCAGGTATTGTGGCAAACGCATGTAGTCCTAGCTACTCAGGAGGCTGAGGCAGGAGAATCACTTGAACCCCGGGAGGCAGAGTTTGCAGTGAGCTGAGATCAAGCCACTGCACTCCAGCCTGGGTGACAGAACAAGACTACATCTCAAAAAAAAAAAAAAAAAAAAAGGTCAAGAAAATTAACCTACAGCCGAATATTCTTCATTAGTTGTGGTAAAAGGTTAGCATGTGATATATGATAAAACCTCGAATGATTACCACAAACTAAGGTTCGGCATATGACAAACTTCTTCATTCAGGATTTTATATAGATAGGTAAATTTTGAAGCATGAAATTAAAAAAACAGTACTCTATCTGAAATCGCTCACTTGAGACTTATTATATATGATTTGATTATGTTTTTAAATATCGAGTTGAATATTCCATGTTTCACATATGCTAAGAGAAATTGGCAGCAATGATCATATTCTATTGAATTACTTTTATAGTATTCACTGTCCTTAAAAACAAATGTTGAGTAATATCTATAAGAAGTATAATGTTGTTTCAAGTATCAAGGATACTCTTATCTGTAAGGTACACTTCGGCCTACCAGGGAGCAGTTTTAAGCGTGTTCTTAATACACTAACAAAAATGAACAATAGCCACTCATTCATAATAAAGGTATGGAAAGAGAGAAAACAGACATTAATATAACACCTGCATTCCAATAACCCCTTCTTTTCTGAAATTTCTTTTTTAACCTTAATTTTGTCTTCCTTTTTCCTTCCATTTGTTTTTTAAATCACGATTCCTCATGTTATCATTGCCATTTTCTATCTGTATATCTCTTTTCTATCTTTCCATCTTTTCTCTACTGGGAAATTCATATGATTTTAAAAATGAAATTTAAGGTTTTACTTAGTTTTTGCAAAATAATATTTTATGGTAATACTAGGAATATTCATAAATAATAATTCTTTGTACAAAGTACCAGTCAATGTGCTGAATAATTTATTTTAGATTTTTTGAAGTCAATTCACAGTGATTAGGTTATGATTATACATTAACAGAAGAAAGTCAAAAAAGAGATTTTCATTTCTATGAAAGATATGTCCAGAAGTTTATATTATGTATACAATCATGCTCTTTCCTAGAAGGGAAAAATAATTACAAACCATATGGTTAACATAAAATAAGAAAAGAATACAATTAAGATTTATTTTTCAGTTTGAACAGTAATAAATTTATTCCTTATTTCCTTTGCAATTTAATTTGTTCCAGATGGTTCCACTGTCTATTTTTACTCTAACTCTCATTTCAATGGAACAGTGTAGTTCTTCCACACAATTTTTCAATTTGCTTTTGTATTCATGTTTTGAAACTAAGTTATTTGATGTTTATCTATGGAAAACTAAGTATTTTTAAAGCAAAAATAAAATAACATATTTCTCATTTAAAAAAGTAATTTTAAAATTACTTTTAAGCTTGTGCCTATCCATGGAATAAATATTCAATAACTTTTTACTCAGATCAAAAGAGTACATATTAAAGAATTCTAGAATATACTGGAAAATGTACATCACAATGCCAATAATTGCTGTATTTCCCTGGAGATATTACAGGTGAAAATTTTTTATTTTCTACATTTCTACTGTTCCCTTGGCTTTCTACATGTTTTAGCTTTCTGAGATAATCATAATCAATTAGTCATAATAAATTATGGTGCCAAATGTCAAAAACTTCTATAAACAAGGAAAAACTTTCTTTTCAAAAGTAAAAACTTACAAAAAAGTCCAAATGGATCGATAGATAATTTGCAATAGAAATTGGTAGTTAATTCCAGATAAAGAAATACAAATTTTTAAAATTCTAACAAGAATAAACTTTACACATAAATATCACCTGTATCAAAATAACTTATTTTACATTTAATGAAATCAATACATCTTGTATTCTTTTTATATGTCAGTTTTTATATGTCCTATATATATGATATATATAATTGTTTACATATAAACAATTTGAAACTACTTCAATAGTTGAGACAATGGCAATATGATAAAAATGAATTACTAATATAAAAAATTGCCAGAAAATGGGTTAGCTAACTTAGGACTTACAAATGGAATCTATGACCTCAATACAGGTTTGCAAAGATCTAGTGTTCAAGTGATTGCACATATTTTTGGAGTGCTAAAAATTAAAATAAACAGCTTAATTATGAAAAAATGTATATATAGATATAAGTATACATGTATGCACATAAGTACATATGTATATGGATATTATATACATAACATTGGTTGTTAAAAAGAGTCAGTTCATTTAAAAAGTTAATATTATGTTTAAATTAAGAAGGTAGAATACACAGACGCCCTTTCTTTTTGGGTGAATATACACGTATCATATAGAATATATTTAATATTTATTTTTTGACTGGTGAACTTGACTAATTTAACATTAATAAGAATTGATTTATCTTTTTAATTTTGCCTAGCTATTACGAAGAAAGTGGTGCAAAATTTGCCTTAGTGCCATAAACAATTGGCAAACAGGACAAGATATATGAAGAAAAACTTATTAGAAATCAGGTGGAGCTGAACACTGATTCCTGAGATAATAGAAAGAAATAAAATTAGTTCAGTGATTTGCTGGTAAAACAACTGGTTACATACACACACACACTCTAAAACAAAAACCAAACAAACATCAAATGTGCCCTGGTTTTTAGCATTTGCAATTTTTGTGTTACAAATACTCACAACATGATTGAATATGTTTCCAATTCATGTTTCCGAAAAGAATGTGGAGCATATAATCAGAACTT
Organism: Homo sapiens; assembly: GCF_000001405.40. Lineage (NCBI taxonomy): Eukaryota > Metazoa > Chordata > Mammalia > Primates > Hominidae > Homo > Homo sapiens. Next base: position 18,662,276 of record NC_000005.10, read on the forward strand.
GAGAAAGTTATGAGTAGTCTCCAGTGCACAACTGAGTGAGCTCTATAGTTATTCCAGTTTTTGACTTGAAGACATTTTTCAGACCACAATGTAGGGTTGCTCAAAGCATAGGACAGAATCCTGACAGAGCCAAGAAAAAAGATAATGTATTTTGCGGAAGCCAAGTTGGCTGGATTTTGCAGGACAAAGTCCCAGAAAGGAATAGGTTGTCTAGAAAAAGAGGTCCAGAAGTTTGCATAATGGTCTCCTCAAGTCTTTAACTGAGTAACTGAGCTATATACCTAAGGGTAAAACATCATAAAGGGACCACTGGGATCTCTAAGCTGAAAAATTGCCAGACAGGTCTAGGAGCCATTCAGATTTTGATGAGAGTAAAGAGCTCGTGTCAAACATAATAGTGACCCTAGGAAAATTATTTCTTGAGAGTAGAGCCAACATAAATGTAGAGTAAAGTCTAGGCTAGTCCTTGGAAGGGTTATCAGCAAGTTTCAGGAAGATCAAGTTGATGCATAAATAGCTTAGAACCTGCCAAAACAAAACCTCACATGTTCTGCAGGAACGTAATACAACTTAGATATTGAATAATCTAATATTTGTAATATGACATTTGATATAAAATTGCTAGACAAGTGGAAAACCAAAACTATGTTACCTCTTATCAGAAAATAAAATCAAGTAGGCCACAGAAACAGACCAAAAAATATATATAATTATGGACAAGGATTTGAAAACCACCATTATATATATAATGAGGCATGTAAAGCAGATGTTGCATATAATGGGAAGAGAAATGGCAATTATTAAAAATAAAAACTTCTACAGTATCTGAAAATATAAATACTAATGTAATATTTGAAATTTAAAAATAATAATTACACGAGCTTAACAGTAAGTAGTACATTACTGACAAATGGTCTGCAAATCCAGAGACATAATAAAAAAAATCTAAAGCACACTGAGGGAAAATAAAAACATGGAAAAAAGTAAACTTAGTCTCAGTGACTGGTAGGACAATATCAAGCAGTGTTTCATAGCATAATTAAAGCTTCAAAGAATATAAGAAGCATTTTAAAAATATTTTCTAACTTACTTGAAATGGGTTGTAATGGATTTTCATAAAAATGTTTCATCACTATTGTCACATTTGTTTGAGAAATATTGATATAGAATCATTTTACATAATATTTTTACTTCTCAGCTCTTTGTATTTCTCTACCCTTTTCTAGCTGAAGTTATTTATTTGAGTTTTTATTATTTCTATATCACTCATCTTTATGAGTTTACATTTAATATTGGGCTTTTACAATTAATGAGGTTTCTGGATATTGGCCTTGGCAAAACATTTATGACTAAGTCCTGAAAAGCAAATGCAACAAAAACAAAAATTGACAAGTGAGAACTAATTAAACTGAAGGACTTTTGAACAACAAAAGAAACTATCACAGGGTAAATGGGCAACCCACAAAATGGGAGAAAGTAAGTTGCAAACTATGTATCTGAAAAAGGTCTAATATCCAGAATCTATAAGAAACTTAACTCAATGAGCAAAAATCAAATAACCCTATTAAAAACTGTGCAAAGGACATGAACAGACACTCCACAAAAGAACACATACAACTGGCCAAAAAACATGAAAAAATCCTTAACATCACTAATCATCAGAGAAATGCAAATCAAAACCATAATGAGATACCATCTCACACCAGTTAGAATGACTATTATTAAAAAGAAAAAAAATAACAGACACTGAGGGGAAAAGGGAACACTTATACATGGTTGGTGGGAATGTAAACTAGTTCAGCCACTGTGGAAAGCAGTTTGGAAATTTCTCAAAAAATTAAAAACAGAACTACTATTTGACCCAGCAATCTCATTACAGAGTATGTATATCCAAAGAAAAATAAACTTGTACAAAAAAGACACATGCACTCACATGTTCATTACAGCACTATTCACAGTAGCAGAGACATGGAATCAACCTAGGTGACAATGAATGGTGGATTGGTTACAGAAAATGTGGCACATATAGACCACAGAATACTACACACCTGTAAAAACGAATGAATTCATGTCCTTTACAGCAACATGGATGGAGCTGAAGGTCATCATCTTAAGCAACTTGATGAAGGAACAGAAACCCAAATACCACATATTCTCACCTATAAGTAGGAAATAAATATTTATTATTTATGAACATAAAGATGGGAGTAATAGACATTGGAAACTACTAGGGGGGGTGCAAGTGTTGAAAAAATGACCTATTGGGTACTGTGCTCACTATTTGGGTGACAAGATTATTCATATCCCAAACCTTAGCATCACCCAATATATCTGTGAAACAAACCTGAACGTATAACCCCTATATCTAAAATTAAAATTAAAATTATAAAAAAATAAAAAGTACAAGAATTAGGATTTTGTAATTTTGTGCCTGCTTATTTTTCTTTTTAACTAACACATATTTTATGCATTAGAAATTATATTTGGTTATTTTTTCAGGAAGTGTATTTTTTACATTATTTAATTCCTCAGTTAATTAATTTTTACATTTGGCTCTTTTCTGATACATTCAAGAAGAAATATATATATTCCTCATAGTAAATCTTAGGCCTTGTATTTCCAAGGTCTTACTGTGATTTTTACCTTGAATAATTACTGATATTTCTTCATGGTTTAATTTTTGTGTATTTCTGTGAAGAGCAGCCTTGGTTTTGGATGCCATGAAAGGTTTATTATATTGCACCTACTTTATATTTTTAATCATTCATATTGATTGATAATCTGTCCATTGCAGAAATGAGGAGTTTCCAAAAAGTTTATGGAAATATGTATTATAAAAAAAACTATGCATAAATTTCAACTTTTTGCACAAAAATAAATGTATACTAGCTTGTTATAACATGTCTAAACAGGATCCAGTTGAAGGCACTGAGAAGAATAAGACATCAGTTTGAAAAGAGCCTCTATTAAAGCAACTTGAATTATGCTAAAATTGAAGTAAGAACAAACATCAAATGTATGGTGAAGCTTGGGTAGAAGAATGGTATAATTGCTGATGCTCTACAAAAAGTTTATGGGGATAATGTCACAAAGAAATGAGCAGTTTACGGCCAGGCATAGTGGCTTGCACCTGTAATCCTGGCACTTTGGGAGGCCGAGGCAGGCGGATCACGAAGTCAAGTGATTGAGACCAGCCTTGCCAACATAATGAAACCCCGCCTCTACTAAAAATACAAAAAATTAGCCGGGCATAGTGGCGGGCGCCTGTAGTCCCAGCTACTCGGGAGGCTGAGGCAGGAGAATGGCGTGAACCCGGGAGGCGGAGCTTGCAGTGAGCCGAGATCCCGCCACTGCACTCCAGCCTGGGCGACAGAGCGAGACTCCGTCTCAAAAAAAAAAAAAAAAAAAAAAAGATCAAGATCCTGAAGCGTTTCTTTGAAGAATTTTAGCAGACGAAACATGCCTTTACCAGTATGATCCTAAAGACAAAGCACTACCAAAGCAATGGCTATAAAGAGATGAAAGTGGTCCAGTCATAAGCAAAAGTAGGCTGGCGATGAGCAAAGGCCATGGCAACAGTTTTAGGGTTGCTCAACGAATTTTGCTTGTTGACTTTCTAAAGGACCAAAGAACAGTAACGTCTGCAATAATGAGAGTATTTTGGGGATGCTAAAGCTTCAGCAGAAAAACACCTGAAAAAGCTTCACTAGAGAGTCCTTCTCCATCACAACAATGCTCCTGCTCATTCCTCTCATCAAACAAAAATAATTTTGAGGAAGTTTCAGTGGGAAATCATTAGGCACCCACCTTACAGTCTTGATTTGGCTTCTCATGGCTTCTTCTTACTTTGTAATAATAACCTACAAGGGCACTCATTTTTGTTCAGTTAATGATATAAAAAACACATTAACCTGGTTAAATTCCAGGAGTCTCAGTTCTTTAAAGATGGACTGAATGGCTGGTATCATTGCTTACAAAAGTACCCTGAACTTGATGGAACTTATATTGAGAAATAAAGTTTTTATTTGAATTTTTTATCTTTGAATTCAATTTTCCCACAAAATCTTTGAGTCCCCTCAAAAAGTAAGCATGTTTACTTTTAAATAGTTGCATTAAAATTTGTAAATAGCTATCACTTTCCCTTTAAGTGTGATTTTCCCAAAATCACATTTCTTCAGATGAAGAAAAACTGTTAAGAACTGGTTAACCGTTTCCACAAGAAAAAAAAAAATCATAGTGAATTTAATTTTTTATTTTAATCCAGAAATATGGCTATGAAATGTGACCTGGGTTGTTACTTAATATGTAACAGAAAGTGCTAATAATTGTGGATAGAACTGAAGTCCCTTGGGCACTATAGAATTCTCTTTTCTTAAAAAATGCAGGAATGCCAGTTGACCATTGGTAAATAACTCCTAGCTATTTAGCTTGAAGTCATTCTGTGTTTTTCCTATTGCCATGGCCTTTTCAAAACTATCTTAGTTAGCTAGAAATTATTTATTTGCTTGTTTGGCTTTTGAAAGATTTTAGGACCTCCTTATTGTTTTTTTGTGTTGTGAAATTTCACCACAGCACAAACTAGTGTAAGTTAATACTAAAGTGGACTTTTTAATAGGAAGATTCATACTATTCTACATTTCTGAACAATTTTATTCTATCTATCCATCTGATCTCTATCTCTTTCTTCCTTACATTTTCCCCATTTCAATCATTTTCTCTCTTATTATTTAATTACTGTTGCATACATATTACAACTACAAGATCAACTTCATGTCTCAACATTTTCTCATTCTTTACAACTCCTTAAAATTTAGATATCTATTTTGGAAATATTTATTCATCCACATACTCTAACTTGCTTTTATAGTTTGTTATTTTTTCCATCAATCCCCACTATTATGTTTTAAGTTTTATATTTCAGTCTTAAATTGTTAGGTATTACAGATATCTTTTATGTAATATCTGTTAGTTTTAAACATCATTATTAATATAATATTAGTAATTTGCTACATGCTTTGTTGTTATCTCTCATTATTGGTCTCAGTTTTCCTAAAAAGTTTGGCGATTTATGGTTAGTTTAACTATTAGTTCTTGCAGAAAAACAACTAATAGTGAGGAACCGATCAAACATGATGCTCAAAAGTGCTCGTTAGGGTGATAAAAAGAATAATGGGCCTGAAAAGTAGACTAAGAAGAGCAAGCAGAGTGTGAGGGAAAATATATAAAAAAAGGATGTGTTAGAGAAGCCAACTGAATTGACAGTTTCTTAATTGTAGCAATTAATAGTTTGAAGTGTTGCTAAAACATCAAATATAAGCTAAAAAATAGATTTAGAAAAATAATTTATTATTTCTTTCAAAAAATATTAAATGATAAGACCAGGTGCCACGTCTCAGATAAATGGGCTGAGACGAATGGGGAAAAAAATATTTGAAGTAGAGTGTGGTGATAAGGAGAGAGTTTGAGACTCTGTATAGAGGTATTTGAAGAGTTGAATGCAACAAAGATTCTGGCCTTCGTTTTAATGGGAAAAAAACGTTAAGTTTTCAAGAAATATTTTCCTGAGAAGGAGTGGTTGAATATCCAAGTGAAGAAAGGAAATGCCATAAATTGTAGTTGGTTCTTAATTAGGCAGAAAGAAAAGAAACTTAAAACACTGGTGGAAAAATTCCGACTATTTAAGAGTGAAAGGAGCTTCTATATTGTAATGGGAAGACAAGATTGTAGGTTGATTTGAGACATGGATGAGTGATCAGAAGATGAAGCATTTTTAAGTGAAGTTTATGTTTTCTAAATGAAAGTAGTAAGACTGGCCAGAAGCTGAGATTAAAGAATTTGGGGTTTGGAGACATTGTGCATAATTATGCATACAATTGAGCTGAAACAAAGAGTGGATATATCAGAAAAGCACATTTCTGGTTAGGTGCCATGAATGTATAGAATAATTAAATTATCCTGTTGGGAAACTTGATCTTACAATTCTTGATCTACAAAGCCTCTAGCTCTTTTGTGGTAGCTGTGGAGGGTGTGATGAGTTAGTTGCATTTGTGATTGGACTATTTTAATATGTAAAGTGAAAAAAGAAAGGTGCAAATAATTTAGCAGACAAGTTCATTCAACATTAATTTGATTCATAAATAATAATTAAGCACTTAAAATGTGCCAGAAACACATCTAAGTGACATTGATATAACAATGAAAATATACTTTTCTTCTTCTGGAACTCACATTCTGATGAATTGATAAGTCTATAACTTTAGGTGGCAATAAATGCTCTAAAAATGTGGGACACGAAATAATGAATGCTTGGGATAATATTTTATAGAGAGTGTTCAGGAAAGGCCTGCAAAAGATGACATTTGAGCAGAAAAATTATTTAAGTATAGGAATAATTGTATGTGCAAGGGAAGGTGGGGGAAGAAGGTATGGAGAGCAAGTGCAAAGGTCTAGATGATAGACTTGTGACACATCAAGAAAAAGGGGGAATTAGTGTAGTTAAAAGGGAAATGAGCCAGAAAAAGGGAGGAAAGATGTAACATCAAAGAGTTAATTGAGAAGCAGACTGTTTCACGCACGTCCATGTGAAGAGACCACCAACCAGGCTTTGTGTGAGCAACATGGCTGTTTGTTTCACCTGGGTGCAGGCGGGCTGAGTCCAAAAAGAGAGTCAGCGAAGGGAGATAGGGGCAGGGCCGTTTTATAGGATTTGGGAAGGTAATGGAAAATTACAGTCAAAGGGCGCTGTTCTCTGGTGGGCAGGGGTGGGGGTCGCAAGGTGCTCAGTGGGGGTGCTTTTTGAGCCAGGATGAGCCAGGAAAAGGACTTTCACAAGGTAATGTCATCAGTTAAGGCAAGGACCAGCCATTTACACTTCTTTTGTGGTGGAATGTCATCAGTTAAGGTGGGGCAGGGCATATTCACTTGTTTTCTGATTCTTCAGTTACTTCAGGCCATCTGGGCATATATGTGAAAGTCACAGGGGATGTGATGACTTGGCTTGGGCTCAGAGGCCTGACATTCCTGCCTTCTTATATTAATAAGAAAAATAAAACAAAATAGCGTTGAAGTGTTGGGGCGGCGAAAATTTTTGGGGGGTGGTATGGAGAGAGAATGGGCGATGTTTCTCAGGGCTGCTTCAAGCGGGATTAGGGGTGGCGTGGGAACGTAGAGTGGGAGAGATTAAGATGAAGGGAGATCTTGTGGTAAGGGGTGATATTGTGGGGATGTTAGAAGAAACATTTGTCGTATAGAATGATTGGTGAAGGCCTGGATACGGTTTTGTATGAATTGAGAAACTAAATGGAATAACAGAAGGAGAAAAACAGGTATAAAAGGTCTAAGAATTGGGATGACTCAGGATATCTGATTAGAGAGTGCCTAAGGAGATTCAGCATAGTCCTGCCTGCAAAGATTATTTATTTACTTCAAGAGTTAAGAGTGGCAGTTTGGGGATAGCACCAGGAGATATCAGCTGTGATGGCTTGGGAAAACCATGTAAACCAGCCGTGTAAACAAGAGCAGGGCATGTATGAGTAGTTGAGAATGGTGAATAGGAGTATGACTAGACAGAAGATAGTAGGGATGACAAGTTTTTGGGGCACAGTCTAAGTTGGTCTGGTGTCTGGAATGCGACTGGGGCCTAATAAAAAGGAGCGTCTATACAGGAGCTTAAATGGGCTGTACCCTGTAGCATTCTGAGGACAGGCCTGAATTCTGAGAAGGGAAAGTGGTAAAAGTATTGTCCAGTCCTTTTTAAGTTGGTGGCTGAGCTTGGTGAGGTGTGTTTTTAAAAGACCTTTAGTCCATTCTACTTTTCCTGAAGACGGAGGACCATAAGGGATATAAAGGTATCACTGAATACTAAGAGCCTGAAAAACTGCTTGGCTGATTTGACTAATAAAGGCTCATCTGTTATCAGACTGTATTGAGGTGGGAAGGCTAAACTGAGGAATTATGTCTAACAGGACGGAAGAAATGACTGTGATGGCCTTCTCAGACCCTGTAGGAAAGGCCTGTACCTATCCAGTGAAAGTGTCTACCTAGACTAAGAGGTATTTTAGTTATCTGACTCGGGGCATGTTGAGTAAAGCTAATTTGCCAGTCCTGGGTGGGGCAAATCCTCGAGCTTGATGTGTAGGGAAGGGAGGGGGCCTGAATAATCCCGGAGGAGTAGTAGAATAGCAGATGGAACACTGAGAAGTTATTTCCTTGAGGATAGATTTCCACGATGAAAAGGAAATGAGAGGTTCTAAGAGGCGGGCTAGTGGCTTGTACTGTAGCATAACCTGCCTTTGCTGGTGTGTGGCGATTAGGCCTGGTGGAACCGCCATCAATAAATCAAGCGTGGTCAGGGTGAGGAACAGGAAAGAAGGAAATTTGGGGAAATGTGAATATCAGGTGGATCAGAGAGGTACAGTCATGAGGGTCAGGTGTGGTATCAGGAATAATGTGGGAGGCTGGATTGAAGTCCGGGCCAGGAACAATGGTAATTGTGGTAGACTCAACAAAGAGTGAGTACAGCTGAAGGAGCCGGGGAGCAGAAAGTATATGCATCAGGTATGAGGAAGAAAATAGATTTTGGAAGTTATGAGAACTGTAGAGAGTGAGTTGAGCACAGTTTGTGATTTTGAGGGCCTCTAAAAGTATTACAGCAGCGGCAGCTGCTGCACGCAGACATGAGGGCTAGGCTAAAACAGTAAGGTCAAGTTGTTTGGACAGAAAGGCTACAGGGTGCGGTCCTGGCTCTTGTGTAAGAATTCTGACCACGCTAACCATGCCTAGGAAGGAAAGGAGTTGTTGTTTTGTAGAAGGTGCTTCGGTTTGAGAGATCAGTCGGACACGATTGGCAGGGAGAGCACATGTGTTTTTATGAGAATTATGCCGAGATAGGTAACAGATGAGGAATAAATTTGGGCTTGATTGAAGTAATGGGGGCTGTCTGTGAAGCTTTGCAGCAGTACAGCCTAGGTAATTTGCTGAGCTTGATGGGTGCCAGGGTCAGTCCAAGTGAAAGCGAAGAGAGGCTGGGATTTAGGGTGCAAAGGAATAGTAAAGAAAGCATGTTTGAGATCTAGAACAGAATAATGGGTTGTAGAGGCAGGTATTGAGGATAGAAGAGTATATGGGTTTGGCACCATAGGGTGGATAGGCAAAACAATTTGGGTGATAAGGTGCAGATCCTGAACTAACTTGTAAGGCTTGTCTGGTTTTAGGACAGGTAAAATGGGGAAATTGTAAGGAGAGTTTATAGGCTTTCAAAGGCCATGCTGTAGCAGGCGAGTGATAACAGGCTTTAATCTTTTTAAAGCATGCTGCAGGATGGGATATTGGCATTGAGTGGGGTAAGGGTGATTAGGTTTTAATGAGATGGTAAGGGGTGCATGATCGGTCGCCAAGGAGGGAGTAGAGGTATCTTATACTTGTGGGTTAAGGTGGGGGGATACAAGAGGAGGACGCAAAGGAGGCTTTGGATTGGGAAGAAGGGCAGCAAAGAGATATGGCTGTAGTCCAGGAATAGTCAGGGAAGCAGATAATTTAGTTAAAGTGTCTCAGCCTAATAAGGGAACTGGGCAGGTGGGGATAACTAAAAAGGAGTGCTTAAAAGAGTACTGTCTAAGTTGGCACCAGAGTTGGAGAGTTTTAAGAGGTTTAGAAGCCTGGTCGTCAATACCCACAACAGTTATGGAGGCAAGGGAAACAGGCCCTTGAAAAGAAGGTAATGTGGAGTGGGTAGCCTCCGTATTGATTAAGAAGGGGATGGGCTTACCTTCCACTGTGAGAGTTACCCGAAGCTCGGTGTCCGTGATGGTCTAGGGGGCTTCCAAGGCGATCCGGCAGTGTCAGTCTTCAGCAGCTAAGCCAAGAAGATCTGGGAAGGAGTCAGTCAGACAGCCTTGGGCGAGAGTTCCACGGGCTCTGGGAGTGGCAGCCAGGTGAGTTGAACAATCTGATTTTCAGTGGGGTCCCACACAGATGGGACGCGGCTTAGGAGGAATCCCGGGCTGTGGGCATTCCTTGGCCCAGTGGCCAGATTTCCGGCATGTGTAGCAAGCTCCTGTGGGAGGAGGTTCTGGAGGAACGCCTGGCCGCTGCGGTTCAGGCGTTTGGATGTTCTTGTGTGCTGGAGATGTGGCTGGGGTTTGTCTCACAGTGGAGGCAAGGAATTGCAACTTTTTTCTATGATTGTACACCTTGAAGGTGAGGTTAATTAAGTCCTGTTGTGGGGCTTGAGGGCCGGAATTTAATTTTTGGAGTTTTATTTAATGTTGGGAGCAGATTGGGTAATAAAATGTATATTGAGAATAAGATGGCCTTTTGACCTTTTAGGGTCTAGGGTTGTAAAGCCTCTCAGGGTTGCTGCCGAAGGAGACATGAACTGGGCTGGGTTTTTATATTTGATGAAAAAGAGCCTACACGCTATCTGATTTGGGATAAAGAAAAAGCAGCATTAACCTTGACTATGCCTTTGGCTCCAGCCACCTTTTTAAGAGTAAATTGCTGGGTAGTGGGGGAGGGCTAGTCACAGAACGAAACTGTAAGCCGGACCAGGTGTGAGGAGGGGAGGCGATAAAAAGATTACAGGGTGGAGGGGCTGAGGCTGAGGAAGAATTGGGACCTAGCTTGGGCTGGTGAGGAGGGGAGAGGTCAGATGGGTCTGTAGAAAAGGAAGATTAGAAAGACTCAGCGACGCTTGGGGTTGGGACTGAGGGGACAGGCGGGAGGGAAAGAAGGAAGGTTTGGGACGAGTTGCACTGGGCACAGAGACTAGGAAGGGACTGATGTGTAAAAGAATGCCTGGACGTCAGGAACCTCAGACCATTTGCCCATTTTACGACAAGAATTATTTAGATCTTGTAGGATGGAAAAAATGAAAGTGCCATTTTCCGGCTATTTGGAACTACTGTCGAGTTTGTATTGGGGTCAAGCAGCATTGCAGAAGAAAATAAGTCATTTAGGTTTTAGGTCAGGTGTGAGTTGAAGAGGTTTTAAGTTTTTGAGAAGACAGGCTAAGGGAGAAGAAGGAGGAATGGAAGGTGGAAGCTTACCCATAGTGAAGGAGGCAAGCCCAAGGAAAAGAGTAGAGACATGGAGAAGGGGTGGGGGGTTCTAGCCCTCCAGAAAAGCAGAGAAGGGGTTGGGGCATGGAAATAAGGGATTGGGGCACAGAGATAAGAGGTTGGGGTGCAGAAATAAGCGATTGGGGGGTTCTTGCCCCCTAGGAAAGTGGGACTTGACACTAAGGGTGAAGGAGAAGAGGTTGAGGGGTACTTTCCCCTGCCCCAGGAAAGCGGGACTTGCCACTAAGGGTGAAGGAGAAGGCGTTGAGGGGTACTTGCCCCTCTCCCAGAAAAGTGGAGAAGGGGTAGAGATAAGGAGAGAAGGGGTTGGGGTACTTGCCCCTTCCCCAGAAAAGTGGGACTTGCTGCTAAGGGTGAAGGACCAAGGCAGGTGTCCCTGCGTGGTCTGACACCCTTGAAATGTGGGTGTACAATCAGAGAGGCATCCCTGCAATGATTAAACACCAAGGGAAGGCTGCCTTCCCAGTCCGTGACCGGCACCGGAGTTTTGGGTCAACGGATAAAATGTGTCTCCTTTGTCTCTACCAGAAAATGAAAGGAATTGAAATTAAGAGAAGGGAGAGATTGAATTGTGGTGCCAAGATTGAAAGGAGAAAGAGGTTGAGAGATAGTGAGGGAGGTTGGAGAAGAGAGTAAAAAGAGTCCGCTTACCGTATTTGAAATTGGTGAGATGTTTCTTGGGCTGGTCGGTCTGACGACCTGAGGTCATAGGTGGATCTTTCTCACAGAGCAAAGAACAGGAGGACAGGGGATTGATCTCCCAAGGGAGGTCCCCCGATCCGAGTCACGGCACCAAATTTCATGCGCGTCCGTGTGAAGAGACCACCAAACAGGCTTTGTGTGAGCAACATGGCTGTTTGTTTCACCTGGGTGCAGGCAGGCTGAGTCCGAAAAGAGAGTCAGGGAAGGGCGATAGGGGTGGGGCCATTTTATAGGATTTGGGAAGGTAATGGAAAATTACAAAGGGGGTTGTTCTCTGGTGGGCAGGGGCGGGGGTCACAAGGTGCTCATTGGAGGTGCTTTTTGAGCCAGGATGAGCTAGGAAAAGGACTTTCACAAGGTGATGTCATCACTTAAGGCAAGGACCAGCCATTTACATTTCTTTTGTGGTGGAATGTCATCAGTTAAGGTGGGGCAGGGCATATTCACTTCTTTTGTGATTCTTCAGTTACTTCAGGCCATCTGGGCGTATATGTGCAAGTCACAGGGGATGTGATGGCTTGGCCTGGGCTCAGAGGCCTGACAGACTGTTTATGAACTAATAGGAATTTGAAAAATGTTTGGATTTTAATGATATTGAGATGCAAAGACCTTGGAGAGTTTTCGGCAGAGAAATGACATAGGACATACACATTTGATATCTCATGATCAGATTCTATATGAAAAATACATTATATGGTCAAGAATGTATATGGGAAGACAAGTTAGGACACCGTTGTCATGGTTAAGTCAAGGCTAAGTAGACAGTATTGAAATGATGGCCAGAATTCTTTATTCAATGTGTTCAGAATCATCTTTCTGAAAGAAAATCAAAATTTGTTCTTGTCATTGTTTTGCTTAAACTTCCTCACTAACCTTTCATTTTCCTCAATATTAAGTTAAAATTTTCCAACAAATATTTCAGGGACATTTATTACCTGCTCCGTGTTTGCCCCTTGTCATGTCTTTAGGACACCAGTAACAGACTTAAATTAATTTCATGTATCAAAAAACCTTTTTTCTGTACTTTCCCAGATGATTTTATCCTATTTAGCAAATACTCATTCTGTTCATTCCATCTCTGTCATCAATTTACTTGGCAAATTTCTACATGTCCTCAGGTCTTAACTTAAATGTAACTTCTTCCGGAAAGTCCTTCATCAGCTTATCTACCATATTACAAACTGCTCTGTGGTTTTCATAGCACCTTGCGTTCTGCTTTTTGACATGGATTAGGCTTTATTTTTATTTCCTTTTTTACTTCACTCCCTTAGTGGCTGACATTTTCTCTCTATTTCACCAGAATTTTATTCCATAGCTTTTGAACAGTTGCAGGCACTTAGTAGAAAAAATTGTTAAACAAGTAAATATGTATCCCCATATTTGGTTTCCTATAAATTTCCATCAAACTGGATTTTTATTCTATACAGAATAAGGATACCACTATTTGTCTTAGGTTGAGCTGCTATAACAAATTACCAAAAACTGGGTGGTTTAAACAAGAAACAAATATTTCTCACTGTTTTGGAGGCTGAGAAGTTCAAGTTGAAGGTACCAGTAGATTTGTTACCAGGTGAGGGTCTTCTTTCTGGTCTGAAAATGGCCTTCTCATTGTATTCTCAAATGGCCTAATGAAAATCATCTCTCTCATGTTAATTCTTATTAGGGCACAAATTCCATTCATGAGGGTTCCATCTTCATGACTTAATCACCTCCCAAAACCATCACATTGGGAGTTAGTATTTTAATATATGAATTTTGGGAGGACAAGACATTCAGTCCATAACACTATTTACATTAACATGTGAGATGCTTTTATTTGTTTTTTATATCCACAATTAATTGATCAAGACATGAATCATTAGCTTTTAAATGCTCTGTTATCCTGTTCTCTTTTATTAAAGTTATTTGTTCTCTAGCTACAGATGACTATTATGTGCTAATATAACTTTAAAATATTCACTTTCTCAGATATGCCTTATACCATTTATGCTCTATATGCATATCTTTTATTTAATTAGAGAGTCTTACTGAAATGTTGGCCAAGTAATGCCATAAAATATTTTATATTAAATATTTTTGGTTGAAGAAATATAAGACAGAATTGTTGGCCCAGGTAAGTGCTGAACACAAGGTTTTATTTAACAAAAGACAAAAAAATGGTCCCAATATTAAAAGAGAAGATGATTTAAAAATCATTTTCCTTAGTCTGTCTTGTATTTTGAAAAGAATTTATGGGAAAAAAATGGTGAATCTGTAAGTCCTTTTTGTTCCTACTAGATGTATCACACCACAAGATGTATGTGTGCTAAACCACAGCTATTAGTAATTAGGAATTATTTCGGTCACTCTGAGAATTCCCACAGATGTTTGACTCTGTTTACTGATTGTTCGCATGTTTGTTTTCTTCCTACTCCCTTTGAGAAGCAAGCAGAGGCTCCTGAGATGTCACCAATCTAAAATGATTTGAAGAATAGCCTAGTTTTATCAGCTCTACCATTATTGCTTTAGAGAAAACTGTAACCCTGAGAATCTTTTGCTTAAAATTTCCTGAGTTTAGAACAAAAGAAAGAATGAGGAAAATAGGACATCGTGTTTCCTATTTTAACTATAGTTTTCTTATTTATGAGCCCCAATTTGAAAGCTTGCAAATTTAAATGTGCAGCAAAAAGTCAATTCTACATATGCTGGGAAAGTTAGGAGTGAAAATTCGTCATTCAGCAATTCAAATCAAGCCAGAAGCCATTCTAGAAAGGAAATCACATTTTAAATTCTTTTATTTGAAATTTCTCTGTTTGTATACAGATGTAGCCCTGATTGAATGGGACTTATTTTTGAATGAGAGTATACCCTAAGTTACTATTTTTCCCTTTGTTCTCTTCCAATGCTATGGAGGCACTGACTAATTTGGCAATTACTAGTACAGACAAATATACTCTAAAATTCTATCATTTAAAGTAAAAAAAAATATATGTACTTGAGCTCTCATTCTGTTTCAAGACTGCTATGTTAGAAAAACAGTTATTTCCTGCTTTGTCCCCATTTATAAATTGTGTGAATGAATATGAAATCACACACCTCCTTTAGTTTCAATTTTTGACTCACTGAATAATCTATTACTTTTTATTATTATAAATGTCCAAATAAAGTTATCTTATTTTTCTGTAAATTCCTGAGTTGAAAATAACATACACATATATAGTTTTAGATAAATTTCTCGTAGTGACTATTTAGGTTTATTCAAAATATAAGAATATTTAATAATAGCTTATGTACAATTATCCTAGTAGGGTGAATTACAGAATGTATCTTTCTTTCAGATTTTGTTAGGGCTTTTGAAACTTTTCTGTTTCCAAGCTATCTGCTATAGTGATAGAGAGAAACATTTGGTCACATGAAATTTGTTGAGAGGGTCATTGCCAAAAACCAGTCGTGACAGTCCATGTTAAATGAATGAATATATTCCCCAATATTGTAGTTTTGTATCATAGCAATATTATAGTTTATTTTTAAAAGGTTAATATAACATTCTTTCTGTATTAATAATCTGTAATAAATTTTATTGAAATTTATTCACTATAAATTCACCCACTTTAAGCGTACAATTTATTTTTATAAATTCATAAAATATATATATTATTTTGTAAATTTATAGAATTCTCCAATCATCCCCACAATCCAGTCTTATAACATTTCTATAACCACAAAAAGTTCCATCATCCCTGTTTGCAGTTACTCCGTGCTCTAGGCAAATATTAATTTACTTTCTTTCTCTAAAAATTTGCTTTTTCTGAACATTTCATTCAAGTAAAATTATATCACATGTAGTCTTTTGTGTCTGTTTTCATCCATCGTCCATAACATTTTTGAGGTTCTTCCATATTATCGCATGTACTTTGTTCATTTTTAATGTTGACTAATACAGTATTGTACTGTAGGGATATTACAATATCTTGTTTATGGACTTACAAGCTGATGAACACATGGATTATCTTCAGTTTGGGGCTATTAGGAAGAATACTGTTATAAGCATTTGCATACTTATCTTTTGGTGAATGTATGTTTTTATTTCTCATGGATAGAATTCTAGAACTAGAATTGTTGGTATAGGGTAAGTTTATGTTTAAGTTTTAAGGATATGCTAACTTTCTAGATTGGTTGTATCATTTTTCATACCCACCAGTGATATTTGTTGAAAATATAAAGAAATTGAAATACTCAAATGCTGCTTGTGAATATGAAAAACAACTTTATTTCACCTTCCTTTTTGAAGAAAAATTTATCTCGATATTGATTATTGGTTAACAGATTGTTTTGAATATGTCATTTACGCCACTACACTGTCTCTGGTCATGCTGTTTCACGCAAAAAGGCAGCTGTTAAACGTGATGATCCCTTCCCCCAGCCTCCTCCCCTACCATGTAATCAGCTGTTATTCTCTTTCTGCTTTCAATGTTTTCTCTTTGACTTTGACTCTCAATAACTTGACTATAATGAGTTTAGTTATGAATCTCTATTTTTCCTACCTGAGGTTTCAATTTTTTTTTTGAATGTGTAGATTAGTAGTTTTCATCAAATTTGGCAAAGTTTTGATGGTTACTTCTTCCAGTAACTTTTCTTCCTTGTCTCTCTCTCCTTTCTCCTGAGATCATCATTAAATATATGTAGATATAGTTGAAATTGTCTCATAGATCTGTGAGACTCAGTTAACTTTTCACCAAGTTTTTTGTCTTTATTCTTCATATTGGATAACTTATTTTGATCTGTCTTTAAATTGAACAATTCTTTAGTGTGGTACCTTAAATCTACTGTTGTGCACGTACAGTAAACTTTTAATTTTAATTTTTTTTCAACTCTGGAATTTCTATTTAGTTCTTTTCGTAGTTTTTCTCTCCCTATTAAGAATTCCTCTGTGTAAATTTATTGTTGTCAAACTTTAATTATTTAAGCATGTCTTCTCTGTCTTTTTAATATATTTATAATAGTGTCTTCACAGTATTTATCTGCTAAACCCAACACTTGAGGAAACTCAGAGACAATCCTATTTAATGTGATATTTTCCTGAATATGGGTAGCACTTTATTTTTTCTTTGTACATTTCAAAAATTTTAGTTGAACACTGGACATTTCTAATATTTTGTTGTAGAAACTCTGGATTCTGATAATTTTTTTCTTCCTGAAAATTGTTGTTTTCTCTTTGTTTAATAACTAGCCTTGGCTAAATCTATGAAACCTATTTCTCATGTAGTATGCGGTCAGTGCCACATATTGGCTGAGTTATTTGACTATATTTCCCTTTATTCTTATACATGACTGTTGGGCTTACTCTTATATCTTTGTAGTTGAGTATTCAGCCAATGATGGAATACAGTGGACCCAAATATTTTCGAATTTTTAGAGGTTTAATATATTAGTACTCAACTAATTGTTGTTTAGATTAATACAGGAAATTCCTAACAAAATTATTATTATTGTTGTTATAATATGAATTTACAGTAACATAAAATAAAAAAAAATTTCTCTGACACCCTAAGGTTAAATAATATTTTATTTTTAGGTTTCCATTTTTTGAATGACTACAAAATATTTCCATTTCTTCTGGTCATTTTTATCACTTTATATCAAACTGCATGATCTTGATATGTAGATGAATAGAAAAGATCTAATTTATGTCAAATACAAATAGTACATGCCAATATCTTCCTAATAAGTGCATTTCTGCAATAGTAATTTTCAAATATCTGTAACTAATAATTAAAATCTATATGAAAGGGGAAATATCAGTAATTGATAATCATATATTTCAGAGTAGTTTCTCACAAATGATTAGAGACCTCATGTAGAGAGAAAGAGAAAGGGAGGGTCAACTGGCAGTCAGAACCAACATTCTTGACATGGGATTGATATTTTTGACTGCCTAGTCCCAGAAGAGTCCCAATCAAATAAATATAGGGCCATGAATGAGCTCAGGCCAGTCCAGCTTTAGAACAACCACACTAAACAGCTTAACTTGCAAAATGATAAGCAAATACTGAATTCTTGTTATTTTTTAAGGAATTACATTTAAGATAAGTTTTTATGCAGTATTAGATTGCTAATCCAGTTTGTCTCTTAAAAAGAAATTGTCACTCATGAAGAAACCCAAATGGAATGTTTAAGTTGTGCTTTAAAGAAGAAAACTAGTATATATATATATAGAAAGGCAACTCCATTTTTATGAATAACAAACATATCAATTACAACTACAATTGATTGAGTAATCTCCATTTAAACTTTAAAGGGGAATTACATAATACATATACTCATGACTATCTTGAAATATTTGGAAAATCATAGAAGAGTACGTACTGAATATGTCATAAAAATCCTACTAGTATAATTAAAGTTACTTAATTGTAGTATAAGGCTATGAAAGTCATCTGTTGATTTCCATGTACAAGAACATGTATGAAAGTGAAGGAGATCTTATCAGTCAGAGTTCCAGCAGAAGTATGAACACTCAAGATGGATAATTTGTCTTGAGTTAATAAATTGTCTGTGTACAGGTGAATGGGTAGGCTTTTAGAAAATTGAGAAGTGAGCCGGGCATGGTGGCTCAAGCCTGTAATCCCAGCGCTCTGGGAGGCCAAGGTGGGTAGATCATTTGAGGTCAGGAGTCCGAGACCAGCCGGGCCAATATAGTGAAACCCCATCTCTACTAAAAATACAAAAATTAGCCTGGTGTGTTGGTACACGCCTGTAATCCCAGTTACTCAGGAGGCTGAGGCAGGAGAATTGCTTGAACCCAGGAGACAGAGGTTGCAGTGAGCTGAGATCGCGCCACTGCAGTCCAGCCTGGGCAACAGAGTGAGACTCTGTCTCAAAAAATAAAATTGAGAAGTGATAATGTAGTATCCTCACTTTAGTAAGAATGGGAAGGCTTAGCTACTCCTAGACAAGGTGAAGAAGTTGCATTCAAACAACACTGTTTAAGTGACCTGGCAGGAAGTGATCCAGGTTATTTAATTCCCTCGAATTATTCCTCCTTTCTCTCACAGTGTTTCCTGATGTGATTTGGCTGTGTTCCCACCCAAAATCTCATCTTGAATTGTAATCCTCGCAATCCCCATAATCCCCATGCATCAAGGGAGAGACCAGGTGGAGGTAATTGAATCAAGGGGACGGTTTCCTCATGCTGTTCTCATGATAGTGAGTGAGTTCTCACGAGGTCTGATGGTTTTATAAGGGGGTCTTCTCCCTTTGTTCAGAACTTCTTCCTGCTGCCTTGTGAAGAAGGTGGCTTGATTCTCCTTCACCTTCCACCATGATTGTAAGTTTCCTGAGTCCTCCCAAGCCATGCTGAACTGTGAGTTAATTAAATTTTAAAGAAATAAAATTTTCTTTATAAATTACCGAGTCTTGGGCAGTTCTTTACAGCAGTACGTAAATGGACGAATATATTACAGCCTAGTGGAGCTGTGAGAAGAGGGCCACCGTCCTACAGACCCCAGAATGGTAGATCTGTCCACAGCTTGTACCATGTGCTTGGAAAAGCCACAGACACTTAATGCCAGCCTGCAAAAGCAACCAGGAGTGGGCCTGTACCCTGTAAAGTCATAGGGGCGGAGCTGCCTAAGACCATGAAAACCAGCCTCTTGCATCAGTGTGACCTGGATGTGAGACATGGAGTCAAAGGAGATCATTTCAGAGCTTTAAGATTTGACTGTCTTGCTGGATTTTGGACATGCATGGGGCCTGTAGTCCCTTCATTTTGGCCAATTTCCCTTATTTGGAATGGATGTATTTACCAAATGCCTGTACCCCCATTGTATCTAGGAAGTAACTAACTTGCTTTTGATTTCACAGGCTCATAAGCAGAAGGGATTTGCCTTGTCTCAGATGAGACTTTAAACTTTTACTTTTGGGTTAATGCTGAAATGAATTAAGACTTTGGGGGACTATTGAGAGGGCATGATCGGCTTTGAAATATGAAAGGGACATGAGATTTGGGAGGGGCCTGGAATAGAATGATACGGTTTGGCTGTGTCTCCACCCAAATTTTATCTTGAATTGTAATTCTCATAATCCTCATGTGTCAAGGGAGAGACCAGATGAAGGTCATTGAATTATGGGAACGGTTACCCCCATGTTGTCCTCATGATAGTGAGTGAGTTCTCATGAGATCCGATGGTTTTATAAGGGCCTGTTCCCCATTTGCTCAGCACTTCTCCTTCCTGCTGCCGTGTGAAGAAGGAGCCTCGCTTCCCCTTTGCCTTTTGCCATGATTATGTTTCCTGAGGCCTCCCTAGCCATGCTGAATTGTGAGTCAATTAAAACGCTTTCCTTTATAAATTACCCAGTCTTGGATAGTTTCTTTACAGCAGTGTGGTAGTAGACTAATACATTGCCCCTTAACCAAATCCAACATGAAGCTTAAAAGACGAGAACTATTTAATGTAGTCCATTCATAGTACCCAGAGCAAAGGAATAAATTTGATCTGAGGGGAAAATTAAAGACATCTAGCACTGAGGTCTATTCAGCTTTTTATTTTATTTTTAACACAAACAAAAACTGCTTTCCTAGTTCGTATTTCAAAGAGGTTACTTTATACAACACTATGCAATTATACTCTAAGGATAAGCAATGTTCAGTTTCATAATTTCTATATAGCTTTATTGCTGTCTACATCCCAGACTACTCACGTTACCAATTTACTTTTCTTCTTTAAACACCTCTTTAGATATGTATGTGAATCAGATATTTTGTCACTGGGTGGTTAGAGATTATCATAATAAAAGCAGCAAGTAAATGACATAAGTTACTTTTAAGCAAGATAAATCCAATTATTCTTAATGATAGAACCTGTAGAAAGATAAACATTAATGAAAGACTTCTAAAATATGCAGTAAATTGATCTAGAAAAGTATAAGTGTTTCTCCATCATAAAATTTAATACAATAGAGTAATTATTAAAAAAATTACACATAACTTAGGTTCTAACACCCAAATATCTGTTTAGATGTTTTGCTTTCATAACGTGTGCAAGAATTGTTACATGTGAAATATAGTTGGCTAACATTTCAAACTTCATCTCTCTTTGTATGCTTTTATTCAATATTTCATTTACTCATTAATTTTTTTATAAATATTAAGTGCCTTCTAGGTGTCAAGGAATTTTCAGGTGCTTACAAAATCAAAGCCTACCTTCAGGGAATTCATTTCTTTTCAAGTTTTTCAAAAGTAACTGAGTTTCTGACTATCAATTTTGGAAAGCTTTCTGTCATATTATTATACATTTTATTGTATCAATGATAGCACATGTTAAACTTTCATTGTGTTTTTATATTTCTCTGCTTGGTTCAAACATGCAGGTTGCAGGGCCTCAGAAAACGGTTCACTGGGGATTAATTCTAAAATATTACAGCTGTCAACAGACTGTTTAATGTGTGCATGTGTGTGTGTCAGACAAAGAAAGGGAAAGAGAGAGAGAAAAAAAAAACAAGAATCTATGGGTGGAGAGGTATCTTAGGGTGTTGTACCTAATTATTTTCATATAAGTTTTGGGCAATTTTATCAATATGTATTTTGAAATGTTGATTTGTAAGTACTTAAATTATGTTATCTTTATTGCCTCTAGAGCCCTTTCCTTTCTTGTCGTCTATATAGTCCTAGAAACATCTTTTAAAATTAATTTATATTCACTAAATAGATTACTTTTAGGGATTTGTGATAAAAATGACTAAAGTTTTCAGTTTAAAATGTCATATCCAAAGATTTGTCATAAAAACTTAGAACACCGTTCTCTAAAAGTAATTTAATTGTTAATTTATCAAAGATGGCAAACTCGTTAGTTGTTTCTAGCATAATTTGATCAGTACCTCTTTTAGTGTAGCACACTCTTCCTATAATTGTAAACATATAGTTAAGTTATTCATAAATGAGTGATTTAACAACAAAATATCAAGGTAATTTAATCATAAACTATAAAGTCATGATTTGTAAAACTTAAAAATGCTTTTAGAACCTTCTAATCATTTAAAGCCATAGAAATTTGATGCTGATTCTAGGTAGCACACTGCTTACTGATGCATTTCCTCGGCTCTCTGATGGAACATCTCTACCTGTGATGTTGCATCTGTTCATAAGTAAAGTTGGAAGAGTCGAAGATTAGGTGACATTAGAAAATGACCAGAAGGAAAACGAACAAATGAGTCTTAGAAACTTTGTCTAAAAGCAATGCTATGCTCTTTCTCCATAAATTTCTCTTTGATTCTGGTTAACAGTATTTTGTCAACTCAGTGGCCCATTCCAATTAAAAATAAAAAGCAATGTAGCTTTGGGTAGATTTCTACCTCAGGCCACTGCAGAAGATAGATAGTAAAATTTAACACAATAGTAAAATTCACATGTAACAATTCTTGTACACATTTTGAAAGCAAAACATCTAAAAAGGTATTTGAATGTAAGAACCTAAGATATGTGTAATATTTTCCAATAGTTACTTTATCATATTAAATTTTACTTTGTTACACAAAGAAGATATCGGCTTAGGGTATCTTCTTTCTCTCTGTGCTTTGAGAATGCGATTTGAAATTTGAAATAGATATTTTTGTCTAACCCCACAAGTCTACAGGCAAGACATAAATAATTTTACAAAAATTATATTCCAAAAAGGGGTCATCGTGCATAAAGTATGGATTATCTATCATAGAGGAACAAATCTTGAAACCAATATATTGTATATATATGTAAGGAGGCTTTAGATAAGTTTCAGTTTTTGTTTGCTTTGTTTTGTTTTTGTTTGTGTCTTCCAGGACTATGGTACCATTGTTCCCTTCCAATTCCTTCCTTGTGTAGTCCATCACTGAAGAAAAGAAGTACTGGATATCAAACTAATTTGGTACCATTTATTAGGAAGAATATGCTATCTTTATTGTGTTTCAGTGTATGACTTTACAGCATTGTTTTCTTCATGTACTCTTTTCTGTGCCATTGGTCAATATATAACTGCACGATCATACTGTAATAGTAATCTAGCTTTACAATAGGTCAATTGGTATTATAAATCCTCCAGATTTGTGCTTTAATCATCTTGAATATATTTAAGTCCTTGCACTTATAATAATTACAGAATAAAATGGTTAACTCTCAATGAAATTTTGCTTGATATATCAAGTTTATAGATGAATTTATTTAAAACGGAAATGTTTACAACAGTCAATTCATGATTAAGGTAAATCTCTCCACTGATTTTAGTCTTTATCTTCTTCAATAACATAATTTCATTTTAAAGGTAGACTTCTAATTATTCTTGTTTGCAGTGTCTTCTTAATGCTATTGTAAATACATGTATTTTTTACATTTCATTTCCATTTGTTTTCTGCTGGCAGATAATAATAAAACTTATTTTGTCTACCTTGAATACAGAGATCTTGCTAGAACAGGTTAATCCAGATAGAATGGTAGGTACATTATTATTTTATTTGCAAATGATCCTTATACCTTTGTATTTTCACACTTGCCTTGTGTCTAATTGTAGGCTGAAACTGCCAATAGTTCAGCTTAGAGAATGATGTTTGTGATAGTTGCATTTATTTATTTATTTGCTTCTTTATTCATTTATTCATTCATTTAATGTTTGTAGGAGATACATTTTGCTAAATATAATTTTTAATTATACAATTTTTAAAAAAAATTCAATGCTCTTTTCCAACACATATTAAAGTGATCATATAATATTTTTCTGTACATATTTAGATTAAGATGTATTCAGGGTAAAAGTCCTCTGGGTAATATTTGTATTTTGAATATCTACTCCAGTCATATGACCTGCCTAAATTTATGGTGACCTCACTATTAATAAATGTAGTATTTTGATTTTTTTAAACACTAATGGAATAAAGCTTTAATTAAAAAATAACAAAATAAATACCACTTGGCTAAGATATATTGGCCTTTTCATACATATCAATGTTCCATTTATTTATATTTTGCAAACTTTTTAATCTTGCTTCTTGAGAAAGATTGGTCTAAAATTTTGCTGTCTTGAATGCGCTTATAAAGTTTTTGAATTAAGGCTATTATGGCCTCAAGAAGAAGCCAATAGCTTTTTTTTTTCTTTACTAAATATGTCATCTGTGCCTTGATTTTTTTTTTTTTTTTTTTTTTTTTTTTTTTTTGCTAGGAGCTTTTTGTACTGAATTTAATTAATAGATACTAGATAGATACTAGATTATTCTTCTATCAGATGGATACATTATAATTTTTTTAGAAATATGCCTCTTTTATTATTTTAGTAGCATATTTTATTGTTTCCCTTTCCGTAGCCTTGGAGAGCTGTGTCCAGATTTCCTCTGAAGGCTTTTCTTAGCATTCCCTCGCTGCCCTCAGCCCTCTTCATGCCTCTGCACCTGTGCCGCAGTGTGGCTCTCCTTCAGATCTACTTCTGCTCCAGCCTTATGTACTCTCTCCAGGTTTCTCCTGATTTTGCAGTCCTGAATTAGTCCTCAGCAGGATATGCTGGCCCACACCTCAGCAACCTTTTCTCAGTTTGTGGTCTCAGTTTGGCCACAAACTTCCATTAGACTAGGCAGTGAAGGCCAAGAGTTGGCAAGTTGTGCACATTTTATTTACGTCTGTGGATCCTTAGGATTCTACAGCTTCATGTCAGAACACAGTTGGTCATTAAAAATGCATAGGGAGTTCGGCTGGTTCCTTCTTATCTCCTTTGACTTCTGCCTCCTCCCCCAGCTGCTCAGCCAGGGATGAAAGCAAACGTGTGCCATTTCTTTTGCTTTCTCTCCTTACTCTTAAAATTTACATTATTTAGTATTCTCTGCATCCTCAGGCCCATTATGGGGTTAGAATGGTAGGTTTTATAGGTTATTCTCATTATTCAGAGCCAAGGTTTTTTATTTCTTTCTACTTCCTAAGTTGAAACAAAAGTTCTCAGTCTACTTTTAAGCTTTTCTTTCTCCTTTTTTCCTTTGGCAGTCAGCAGTTTTGCTTGGTTTGGTTTGGTTTCCTGCCCATAGGTATGGCTCTATTTGTTTATCTTGGTTGGTGTTTCTCTGCTGTATTCATATGTTGAATTTCTTGTATTTGCAGACTGTTGTTTTTCCTTATTTATGTAGAATTCTCAATCATTATTCTTTTAAATTTTATTTTTGCCCCATACAGTCTCTCATTTCTGGAATTCCATATATATGTATGCTAGAACTTCTTAACACATCTTGCATGCTTCTCACTCTGTTCTTTTCTTTTCTTCTCTTTTCTTTTCCTTTGTGCTTTCCTATGGGTATTTTCTATTACCCTATCTTTAAGTTGCAAGGTTCTGTGTTCTGGGGTATCTGAAATGTTGTTAAACTCACCCGTCTTGTTCATAATTTCAGATATTTTATGATTCAGTCCTGTATTCATTTTTTGATATTGCAATTTTCTGTTGAAACTCTTAGTCATTTTTTCTGTAAAGTGCCAGCCTCCTATTTCATCCTCTGACTTAGAATGCTTTAACCGTCTGGAAATGCAATCCAGTAGATCTCAGCCTCATTTTCCCCAGCCCCTATTCAAGATGGAGTCACTTTGGCTCACATGCCTCTGACAATGACAGGTTATGTCATGCCTAGAAGCAGCAGCAGAACACAGAGCAGTGGAGCAAATTTTATTTTGAAATTATTTAATCTTTTTTGGAATTTTAGTTTTTCCTAGACTGTGCTTCCACTTGTGACTAAAAACATTAAATTTTTATATACACATACATGTATATAATGGCTTTACTTGTTATCGTATCAGTATTAACCTTGTTATAGATATATTTCTAAACTCAGCTTCCATTTCTGTAAAATGTGAATAATGGTCATATTTCTGTAATTAAAAAGTGAGATAATTTATGTAAGATAATTATACACATATATTTCAGGTGGAAAATTTTCAATAAGGAATATCAACTGTTGATTTATAGTACATTTAAAATTTCAAATTTATATTATACATTAAGTAGTTAATTGTCCTGACAATTTTCCAATATCCTAGAGAGTTATAAACATGAAGTAGTTAAATGTCCTGAAAATTTTCCAGTATCCTAAAGAGTTATAAACATAGCACACATTTAAAGGCTTACATTTTGGAAAAACAAAATTATCATTTTGTGGTTTATGAAAAAACAATCTCTGCCCTTAGGGGAAAACCTTAAGTTAATGATAAAGATGAGACCAGCATAGAACAAAGAAACAAACATCCTCAATGCTTAGCCAAGGTGTAGGCAAATCACAGGTAGCAGAGTCCTTATTTTATAGATCTCTTCTTTTTTTTGATAAGAAAAACATTTGAGAACAGAGAGAAGCCCTGCTGGGAAATAATAGCTCTCAATTCAGAATGTATAAAAACATTTAATTCCTGGGACTTGAAGATCAAAGGTTATTCTTTGTAGTGAAAGAAGAAGTGAAATAAAATTATTTAGTCTCATACCTATTGTTTTCCAAAATGTTTTCTCCAACTGAATTCATTTCTTTTTATTTTTATCCAAGCGATTTCCCTACAGCATATCCACTTGATGTTTCTCTGATGCGAATTTTTATTCATTTTCTCAAGGAATGAATGCCTTTCAGTTTATTACTTTTTCTTTTTTGTAGATACTAAAATTTTCACACTTGCTGAGATCTTTCTCTCCTCAGTTATTTTTGTTTGTAAGGGAATTTGTTTTCCTCTAATTTCTCTTGGGAGCTCTCTTCACCAGTAGGAATAGAAAATTGTGTGAAGGAATAGAATTCTCTGGTTGTTCAATATAGTAAACTTGAAAGGGATATCCCAAATATATTTATGAAGTCCTCAAATTTTAGATGAAGCAGAGAATAAAATCCAAGGTAGTCTTATATCTTGGCTCTCTCAGGTAGGACATTTACTGTTCTTATTATTCAGTGAAAGCCAAAATGAAATTATGAGTGTCAGGTTCAGATATGTGGCTAAAAAAATCTATTTCTTGCTTTTATTCAAATATAATTAATATTTCCTGTGAAAATAACTATTAAAAAGCGAGTCCTATATTTTTTCACTATTTTTTTCTGTACTTGTTGAACTCAGACGATACAAGTAGAGTTACTAAACAAATGTTTTGCACATACAGTAAATGCATCATAAAAATATTGTTAGAATAGATCAGTCTTCCATATTTCAAGTAGCCGTTCTTTATTTCTTTACTTTCCTAATAACATTGCTTTCACTTTACAAACTCATCCTGATTCTTTCTTGCACAAGATACAAGAACCCTTGCTTGGTGTCTGGATTGGGACGTCTTTCTGGTAACTTCACTAGACAAAGTTGTCAATGTTCTCAAAATTTGACATGGCAAATCTTAAACATAAAAGGAATTCAATGCACTGCTGGCTTTATATACTGGATATTTGTTTTATTCTAGTACTGCACAGGAGCCTGGGGAACTAGAGTAAAAGCTTGGTCTAAAATAAGGCAAAATCCCCAACAGTCTCAGAGTGTTTAGTAAACAACTACTGCCTTGAGCATGCTTCCATTCTCCTGAATGACATAGCTACAAAATTTGGAAGCCATCTGAAATGCATTATAAAAATATTGTTTGAATAGATCAGTCTTCCATATTTCATATTCAGATTTGGAGTACAATTGTATTAATAGGGCAAAATAAAAAGCCATCTGAAATGCATTATAAAAATATTGTTTGAATAGATCAGTCTTCCATATTTCATATTCAGATTTGGAGTACAATTGTATTAATAGGACAAAATAAAAAGCCATCTGAAATGCATTATAAATATTGTTTATACTCAGATTTGGAGTACAATTGTATTAAGCTGCCTGAACATTTACAATAGAGACGTATTTAATAAAACGCTATTTAGCCGGGGGTGGTGGCAGGCACCTGTAGTCCCAGCTACTCAGGAGGCTGAGACAGGAGAATGGCGTGAACCTGGGAGGCTGAGCTTGCAGTGAGCCAAGATTGTGCCACTGCACTCCAGCCTGGGCAACAGAGCGAGACTCCGTCTCAAAAAAAAAAAAAAAAACAACCTATGACACCATAAATCAGTAATGGTTCTGGTAAACTGTTATATTACTTGCATATCATAATGCTACTGGTTTTAAATACATGGACACATGTACCATTATAACAGGTAAGGTCCTCTCATCCGCTTATATTAGTTTGCCAACAATTATATTTTGTTCATTGTATTAGTCTTGGCTGTCATTTTATATTCCCTTTTGTCTGTGAGCTCTAGTTTTTTTAATTTAAAATCTTTATGTATCTATTTTTCTAGTGATCCACTAGCAAAATGTGAGCTGTAAAGTTTTTTAATAGAAAGTTGAAAGTTCAAACAACATAATAAATATAAACATGTATCCTTTCAAGAACTTTTAATCATTTATATTCTAAAGGCATTCTGTAATTTTTTTTTCTAGAGAGCATCTTAACAAATCAAGTATTTCAACTGAGTGCAGAAAGAAATATTAGAGCATACCAGGATCTCATTTTTATCTTCAAGAGTCTACTACTTGTGACCAATATATATTTTTAAAAATATATTTTATAATATTTGTAAGGATTGAAAGAAGAGGCATCTAAATTCAAAAAGGATGATAAGCTAGATAAAAATTGCCTTTTTTCTTCAATATGAGGAGATATAAATCTTCAGTTTGGATTCCAATAAACTTGTTACTGCTTCCAAATAAAATATTTCTCAAATAAGATTTAAACCTTGATAGGGCAAAATAAAAATTAAATGACATGGAACATAAACACGTTGATTTTATATATATTTATGTTATATATAACATTGTTGTAAAAATCATAATGATAGTGCACGTGAAATGCACATAGAACATGTATCCTTTCTTATTTCTGACCCGTATTTTCTATGAAAAGCTTAAATGTAATTTTAAGTATGCTCATTTATTTCAGATTATGACAAATTAATCATTCAGTCTTCTGAACTATTCACCTATAAAATCAAAAATATTTATACAGTATAATATCCCATTCTTGATACTTCATATATTTTTCTCATATCTTTCTATATATATGAAAGTCTCTGAAGATATGAGCTCTATATTAATACTTATTTATATTTGTTCACTATTATTATTCAGAGCAAGACATTACTCAGGGTAAGTAGTTGGTAAAAAGTATTAGCTTTTATAAATCTTATGTAAAGTATATTATAACCAACCAAACTCTTCCATGATTATTTTACTCTAAATACATTTTCCAAATAAGAGTCATTTCTGTTTTTACAGCTGATTTTAGTACATAAAAATAATTTAATGACTGAATGAGGATTCAGAAAAAAAATCACAACATATTTCTGAAAAGGTTAACAATCTACATTCCATTTTAATGTTTTGATCTTTAGATTATTTTGTTGAACATAAATTAGAAGAATATAGAAAACACCTTGATACCTGGATTACCTTTGATAGCCTCTTGTATGAAATATTGAGGTCCTCAGATGGCCTCTACATGCTCCCCATGGATTATAAATGCAATTGCCTTTCTAAAGCATGCTACTACCTTTATCATTTCCCATTATGTTTTTACTTTTTAATATATAATTGAATTAAATACAAATTTTAGTTTGCTGCTGCCCCTTAAGTTTGAATTGCTTCAACTGAGCAGTTTCTTTTGTTTTTGTTTGTTTTTGAGACGGAACCTCGCTCTTTTGCTTAGGCAGGACTGCAGTGGCGCTATCTCGGCTCACTGCAAACTCTGCCTCCCGGGTTCACGCCATTCTCCTGCCTCAGCCTCCCGAGTAGCTGGGACTACAGGCGCCCACCACCACGCCCAGCTAATTTTTTGTATTTTTTTAGTAGAGACGAGGTTTCACCATGTTAGCCAGGATGGTCTCGATCTCCTGACCTCGTGATCTGCCTGCCTTGGCCTCCCAAAGTGCTGGGATTACAGGCGTGAGCCACCGTGCCTGGCCACAATTTCTTTATTCTAGTACATTATTCTATACTGTGATAGCATAAAATCACAACAATCATATTTTCAACCCTAGAGATACAATTTAACTGACATATTTTGTTGTTATTAGGAAAAGTCAAAACAGTGAAATGAGAGTGAGAAAACCTTAGTTTGAATTTTTATAGGACCAACATCTAATCATAGAAACTTAGGCAACAGCTGAGCTTTATTTTCTATATTCATCACTTGATGATAGTAATTCCTAAGACAAATAGCATAATGTATAGGAATGCTATATTAAGTATAAACTGCTAATTATTTGCAGTTAATCTTAAATTTCTCTTTATAACCACAGGTTCTTTTTTTTTTTTTTTTTTTTTAACCTTCCTCTCGTCTCATTCAGATTTTATTTCAAAATCCTTAAGCAAACCTCCAGGATCAAGGTCTGGCAAGAAGGTTTGCCCAAGTTGTATTTCTGAATATACTGAATCATCTCAGTATTCTCAAAATGGAATCTATTTTAAAAAACAAGCCAAGAAATCAGTGGATGATCATTGTGCAGCGTGTTGGGATCATACTATACCTATGCATTTGTCTTCCACAATTCATTCACTTGGCCTACCATGAAGCACCTGTGAGAAAGCTGTGGCTGAGCAGAAAAATTTGAAAGTCACAACTGGAACACACTTGGATTCATTAGATAGGCACTGGGTACATGACAATATGCCAATGAGGTAGAGATTTTATTTGAAAGAGTATTTAGTGATTTTATAATCAAAATGATACAGCCTCATTGTAAGTATATGAAAACCCATAAGAAAAAAAATCAAAATATGTAGTGTTGAGTGTGCAAATGACAGTGCAGAAAAGCATGCATTTATGATTTGACACAATATATACTATAGGATTCCATTTGTATAAAATTCAACAACTAGCAAGATAAACTTATGGTGTTAGATAAATGATAGTGATTACTCTGATGAGGGGAGAATGGGAGGGCCTCTTGACTGTTGGTTATTCTTACTTATATTTATTCAGATTCTGGTTACATGGAGGTGTACAGTTTGTGAAAATATTTATCTTTATTCTAATTCACTCATTTTAACAGTATTTTATAATTTATGAAAATTAATTTAAACAGTGAGCAAACCATTTTATTTTTAGAGTGGAGAACACTTTCTGAATGAGACAAAAAAAGATGAAAGTAAAGAATTGATTACTAATTATATCAAAATTCAACATTCCAGTATAAAAATATACAGTAAAGAAAGAAAATAAAAAAAAAACCCTACAAGCTTATATTATTATCTGGAAAATATGTTTTCAGAATATATAAAATAGAATCAATAGCTATAATATAAACATATTGTAAAACCAATAAAGAAAAAGAAATATACACAGGTAAATATGCAAATTCTATGAATAAACAATTCACAGAAGTAACCACCCAAATGCAAAAAATACATAAAAAAAAGAAAAATCTAAGTAACAACCAAAAAATAAAACTCCAAAACAGTAAGTTATGAAATTCTCTTTGGTGATGACATGGGTATAACTAAAATAACTATATAATTTTTTTCTTTTTTACATTTGATATATTTTGCAACAAATTACTAAAATAGATATGGCTCAAGTAATTTCATATGCATTTGAGTATATCCTAGATGAAAGTGATGATGCAAAAGGAATTTCATTTCTCCCATGATTTTCTTTTAAATTTGAATCTTTCTGACACTTCCAAGACCTTTAGCCAAGAGAAGACTTGACCCTTTCAAGAGTTTTCCTGATTAGATCAGTCCCATCGAGGATTATCTGTGTATCTTATGATCAACTGATTTAGAACCTTGATTGTATCTTCAAAAACTCCTTCATAGCTATACCTGGATTAATTTTTGAAAACATAAGTCTGTATGTATAAATCAGGGACAGGAAACTTGATCATCTTAAAATTCTGTATACCGCAAAGTTTCTTTAAGCTAACTGCAACAACTGGAGCATCTATAGATCTTTTAATAATGTAGATTTTTATGCCCCTTTTCTTCATTTTTTGGCATATTGTGCATTTTCAGACCTGCTTAGTTATCTTTGATTGAATACTGTCAATGTAAACATTTATTTGAAAAGACAATAGTATAGGGGCAACAGATCATGATGTTATATCAAATAGTGCTAATGATTTTTCTGTTGCTCATTTTAATATAATCAGTTATATGGATTGAATTGTGTCCCCATCTCCCAAATTTATATGGTTAAGCCCTAACCCCACAATGCCATGGTATTTGGAGATGGGGAATTTAAGAGATAACTAGGTTTAGATAAAATTATGAGGGTGGAGTCCTCAGTATAGGGTTATAAGAATAGACGTAAGAGAGCTTTTTCTATCTCTCTTCCTCAACTATGTAAGGACATAGAGAAGGCTGCCATCCTCAAGCAAGGAAAAATTATCTCACCAGAAACCAATTATGCTGGTATGGTGATCTTAGACTTCTAGCTACAGAAATGTGAGAAAATTAGTTTCTGTTGTTTAAGCCCCCCAGTATATGGTATTTAGTTATGGCAGCCAGACCCAAGAGCTAAGAGCTACAGTGCCTCACTTGTAGTAACATTAGATGTAATCACACTACCTGGGTTCTCAAGAAGCACTCAAAGATTCAATGGAGGTGAAACACCAACATTACTTGGTTTTCATAATGGGTCTGCTAATCTTTTGGGTCAGTTAGTAATACAACAAATACATCTGATTATAATGTTTTCAACAAAACACATTATTTTACATTCACTTTTAGGTTTCATATAGGCCCAATTGTTGCAATGAACATAGATTTATCATTGTCTTTTAATGTCATCATGTAACTCATTGATCTGTGTCCTTTTATTCAACTGTGGAGGTCCTGGCTTTTACCTTAAGGTGATTCTTCTTGAATATGAGACAATATTGAACTTTTAGGCCCTAGTTTAATTTGATCACATTCTAAGAACCTTACTGATTCTATTCTAATTTTGCATTGTTATTGGATTTTTTACTGATGCATTTTGAATATCAGAGATACAGATTTTCATGGCATAATAGAATATATAGTAGGAGCAGGTTTTCCATAATTTCTACCTGAAATAAAATTGGCTACATAGCTCATATCTTGTCATTAACTGAGGATATCATTCCCTAATAGTACATTTTAGCTAATATTTAAATATTTCAGCTCAGTAATATTTAAGAAAAAATTATTTGGGTATATAATTAAAAGAAATGTGTTCACAAACAGTATGAATTTTACATAAAATTATTCAATAGAAAAGTAGAGGAAACTATTCATTGAGATTCTAACAACAATATAAGTGTAATGGAGAATAATACTTGCTTTAATTTTTTTACCAAAAGTAATTTTAAGAAATGAATAAGAAATATTACTATAGAGAAAGGAAAAATGTGCAAGAAAGAAATGAATACATATTTTAAAAATGAATTACCACAGTTTTATTAGTACGAATTTCTTTATTTAATATTAGATTTCTGTCTTTTCTTCATTGGTAAAAAATAAAAGTTAACTTGTAGGCCACATCCTGTGAAATTGCATGAATATATTGTGAGCCAACAAAACTGATGCTGAGACATTCATATTAACAGAAAAATATAGTGAATACCAGATTTTCATTGACAAATAATTTTAATATTTTTTGTTTCCTCACTGTGGTCTTAACATCTTTATTGGAAAATGGATTTTGTTCTTTGCATAACTTTTTTTTCTTTAAAAAAGATCTTTGTTTTTTGCATTGGCAAATGAATTTTAAAATTATTTAATGAAAGCAGTATTGACACATTTATCCTGTACTATATAATTTATGGAAGAATTAACATGCAACCAAATAAATTAGGTAAGGATCTGATTTTAGTTTCACAACAAATACTTTCAACAGAGAAGACCCTAATACTTACCTTATAATGTACCTTATAGGCTGAAGTATACTAGAAAATGAATGAAAACAGAAATATAACCTGACTATTGACATTCATTAGTATGGAGGTAGTTATAAAGTCTAACAAAGTTGTGAGACAATAAGAACATTTTTATAATATTTTTCTTAAACTGATTGCATGGACGTCATTTATGTTTATATCATTTCTTTTATAAATGTTCCAAAGAGGAAAAGTTTTTTTTATAATGCCTATCTTTACACAATGCATAACTTGTTAGATTTCACAGAGTGTGCTTCAGTTTTTCATTTTATGTAGTAAAGTCAAATGATTTGCCATTTATGACTATGTTCTACTCTTTGATTCCCTTAGCATATCTTAACATGTCTAGAGTCCTAGGCCACGGGGTGTGAGGAAGTTGCTAAAAGAAAGGGTGAGTAGGGGAAAAGTCACTTAAGGGATTTCATGTGGGTAATAACCATCCAAATCTGCTTAAAGTCATTTCATTTCAGCTGCTACAGCCCACTAGGATTACTATTACATTAGGGCTTTGTTCTGCTTCTATAACATTGCAATTTAGATACTTTAAACATGTCATTTATTATTATTAATCTTAGGGGAATCATTTATAAAATTGAATTAATTTCAAGTCTGTCTGTCTCCTAGAAGACATCCAAACATTTGATGTATTTTTAAATTATAAAACTATGTTAAAAATAGATGAAATATATAATAGTGTATTATTTGGCAATTATACCCAATAGTCTTCATAAGTATCATGCTCCACACTACAAGAACTTATTTTTCTCACTCTACAAAATCCTAGGAAAACATTTATGACCATTAAAACATCTGCAAATAATGGTCATTTGGTCATTTGGCATTATCTTTGTCTAAAATGATTAAATCCTTGAAATATACAGCCTTAAGAGAGACTGTTTTTTCTTCTTCAAAGGTATATTATTCCATGCCTCCTTTCTGGTTTTTTTTTTTTTTTTTTTTTGAGACAGAGTCTCGCTCTGTCGCCCAGGCTAGAGTGCAGTGGTGCTATCTCGGTTCACTGCAACCTCTGCCTCCCAGGTTCAAGCGATTCTCTTGCCTCAGCCTCCCTAGTAGCTGGGATTACAGGCACATGCCACCACGCCCGGCTAATTTTTGTATTTTTAGTAGAGACGGGGTTTCACTATGTTGGTCAGGCTGGTCTTGAACTGCTGACCTCGTGATCCACCCTTCTCGGCCTCCCAAAGTGCTGTGATTACAGGCGTGAACCACCTCCTTTCTACACTATGCAGTTTCTTCTTCATGGAATACATTCTTTAATCTCCATCCCTAGGAAATTGATTTCAAATAATTCTTAAATATTGCTAAAATATTCCCTCATTTATGAAGACTTCAAATAGTCATTTTATTATACTAATTTACAATTATATTTGCCAGCTTATTGCAATTTTTTTTTTTTTTTTTTTTTTTAAGATGGAGTCTTGTTCTGTCACCCAGGCTGGAATGCAGTGGCACGATCTCGGCTCACTGCAAGCTCCGCCTCCTGAGTTCACGCCATTCTCCTGCCTCAGCCTTCGGAGTAGCTGGGACTACAGGCGCCCGCCATCACGCCCCGACTAATTTTTTATATTTTTGTAATTTTTGTAGAGATGGGTTTTCACCATGTTAGCCAGGATGATCTCGATCTCCTGACCTCGTGATCCGCCCACCTCGGCCTCCAAAAGTGCTGGGATTACGCCCAGCCTGCAATTTTAAAATATAGCAATTTGTATTTACCCATAGCTTAGAACCATGTTTAACCCCTTTTGGATATTTAGGAAACTTGTTGAACTAAACTGAACCCTAGTAAACTATAGCACTTCCTCATTAACGTAGTGTATTAGTCTGTTCTCATGCTGCTGATAAAGACACACCCAAGACTGAGTAATTATTAAAGAAAAAGAGGTTTAATGGACTCACAGTTCCACGTGGCTGGGGAGGCCTCAAATCATGGTGGCAGACAGAGAATGACAACCAAGCGAAAGGGGTTTCCCATTATAACACCATCAGGTCTCGTGAGACTTATTCACTCCCACGAGAACAGTATGGGGGAAATTGTCCCCATGATTCAATTATCTCTCACCAGGTTCCTCCCACAACACATGGGAATTATGGGAGCTACAATTCAAGATAGATTTGGACGGGGACACAGCCAAACCATATCATGTAGCCAAAATGCAGCATTTTGTAGGGGCCAGCCCTACAGGGTCTGTGGGTTTTTCTCCTCGTGTGCAGAGACGGGAGATCATAGAAATAGACACAAGACAAAGATATAGAAGAAAAGACAGCTGGGCCCGGGGGACCACTACCACCAAGACGGGGAGACCGGTAGTAGCCCCGAATGCCTGGCTTCGCCGTTATTTATTAGATACAAGACAAAAGGGGCAGGGTAAGGAGTGTGAGTCATTTCCAATGATTGATAAGGTCACGTGAGTCATGTGTCCACGGGAGAGGGGGCCCTTCCCTGTTTGGCAGCCAAGGCGGAGAGGACAGCTTAGGCCATTATTCTATGCATTTCAAAGGCTTTTTTAGTACTTTCACTAATTCTGCTACTGCTTGAAGGCAGAACCAGATGTATAGGGTGGAACATGAAAGTGAAACAGGAGCGTGACCGCTGAAGCACAGCATCACAGTGAGACATTTAGGCCTCCCGATGGCTGTGGGCGGGCCTGACTGATGTCAGGCCTTCCACAGGAGGTGGTGGAGCAGAGTCTTCTCTAACTCCCCAGGAGAGAGGGAGACTCCCTTTCTTGGTCGGCTAAGTAACGGCTGCCTTCCCAGGCACTGGCGTTACCGCTAGACCAAGGAGCCCTCTAGTGGCCCTATCCAGGCATGACAGAGGGCTCACACTCATCTTCTGGTCACTTCTCACCATGCCCCTTCAGCTCCTATCTCTGTATGGCCTGGTTTTTCCTAGGTTATAATTGTAGAGCAAGGATTATTATAATATTGGAATAAAGAGTAATGCTACAAACTGATGATTAATAATATTCATATATAATCATATCTATATTTCTATTATAACTCTTCTTATTTTGTATATTTTCTTTATTATACTGGAACAGCTTGTGCCTTCAGTATCTTGCCTTGGCACCCGGGTGGCTTGCCGCCCACACATTTCAAGGTCGATGGTACACAGAATAGATGACATTTTAACAATGGTGATTTTTTTTTCAATATTCCTGTCTTGAATGATGTGTGTGCATGTGTGGGTGTGCATGTGTGTGTGTAGACTTGAGTAGGAAGTATTTCTGAGGTATTTTGAAGACATACTTAAGGTTTGAATTAGAGGTTATATTACTGAAATTTTTACCACCTTCTCATTCTCATTATCTAGCAGTTGAGTTTGTGTAAATAGGTCACTTAGGTTTAGAATCTCATTAAAAATCTTTCATACTGGGAGAAAAAGAATCATTGATGTGCTTTACGTTTTAAATATAACTTAAATTTCACAGAATTTTTCAAAACTTTGCAGAGAAAGGCATAGCTCTGGTAATTATCTGTTACGTTTCACAGATTATCTGAAGGATGTAAAATGTATTTATTGACATTTAAAAAGTTACTCTTTTGGCATCATTATTTGCTAATGAGCTTGTTTTGGAATGTTTGCAAGCTTATGTGACAGGATGGCATTTTATTATATGAATAAGGTCAGCTGTGTTGCTCAGTCTATGAGAGAAAAAAGTCATCTTGAAAGGTGAAGCTATTAACTACATTTGACCAAAAACCTCCCTTATAATCAAGAAATGGCATCTTAAAT
The DNA here is from genome assembly GCF_000001405.40 of Homo sapiens. Classification (NCBI taxonomy): domain Eukaryota; kingdom Metazoa; phylum Chordata; class Mammalia; order Primates; family Hominidae; genus Homo; species Homo sapiens. The sequence continues at coordinate 18,699,671 of NC_000005.10, forward strand.
TTATGTAGCTCCTGTAACCTATGAGATGGAGTCTTAGCAATTATCAGGCAATGTCAGGAGGTAGGTTGTGGATGGGGATCACACATCACCCATGTTAAAGGTTGTGTTCAAGCTAATTTTTGAATGGCACCCTGGCTATAATTGTAGAGGCAAACAGACTTAGGAGAGGGAATGCAGAGGCCATTCTGTTTCCCTGTGGTTCTCATGCCTTCATCATCTGTCATCATTAAAGATTTCTGGACTGCAATGATCAAGGGCTCTGTGGAATAATCACACGCTATTTTTAGGCACTTCAGATGCCAAATTGGGACTGGAATTTGGGTTATTAAGGAAAAAGGAGGTTTTGGAAATGTTTGAATAAATCTCTGAAATGGTAAAATTTGTCTTTGACTAATCTTAGTCTTTCAACTGTAGAATAAATTGGAATGGAATAAATGTATTTAAAAAGAAGCGTCAGTCAGGGAAATTAAAATTTTAAAGTCCTTATATGTAAACATGTTCCTTTCTGCCAAATGCATTAGTTTTATTACAATAATTAGCAAATTTATTTAGTTGATTATTAAGATACCATATAAATGATATCATAATTACTATAACACTGTTAGGTGTATAAGAAGAAAGAAAGAATGTAGCATTTTCAAAGGTGATTCTAGGAAAGGATTATGATTTTAGCATAATATAACATTATCCTGTAAGAGATAACCAGATTTTGGGAAGTAGAGATGTGAAGTGTTATAATTTATCTCCCAGTAATTAGAAGAGCCCAGTTGCATTTATCCATTTCTCTCTTGCATGCTTTAAGAAGACAAAGATGATACACGGTCTATATAGAAGATAGACACAAGGAAATTCAGCCTCTATAAATGTCTTAGTCCATTTGTGTTGCTATAACAACATACCACAGACTGGGTAATTTATAAAGAACAAGAATTTATTTCTCACCCTTCTGGAGACCAAGCAGTGTAGGATCAATGTGCCAGCAGGTTTGTTGTCTGCTTACAAAATGGTGCCTTGAACACTAAATCCTGTAGAGGGGAGGAGCACTGTGTCCTCATAGGACTGAAGGTGGAAAGGAAAAAGGGAGGAATTCCCTCTGCCAAGCCCTTTTATGAGGGACTCAATCACCTTCATGAGGTACGTAACAAGCCCTCATGGACTTATCAGCTCTGAAAGGCCCCACCTCTTAATACCATCATATTGGCAGCACCTGAATTGTGGAGGTACTGCCTCAAACTATAGCAACAGGTAGGACTAATTACCTCTGACCAGCTTCCCTTTTCTTGTCAGTGACGTACATGAATTACAACTTGGCTCAGCTGACATAAGAATCAAGGCTAGGCTAAGAGAGAGAGAAAAGATAGTCCATGCTAATGTGGCCTATTTGAGTGCACATGAAACATTGCTGGGAGCAATGTTGCAGATTATAGATTATCAGACTGCAGACTTCCCAAACTCGGTCATCTAATTCTTTGCTCATGTTTTCCTCACAAAAGGGTCCATTTGGCAGGTAAAGAATTGTAACACAAGGCCGGGCGCGGTGGCTCACGCCTGTAATCCCAGCACTTTGGGAGGCTGAGGCCGGTGGATCACGAGGTTAGGAGTTCGATACCAGCCTGGCCATCATGGTGAAACCCCGTCTCTACTAAAAATACAAAAATTAGTAGGGTGTGGTAGCAAGCGCCTGTAATCCAGCTACTCAGGAGGCTGAGGCAGGAGAATTGCTTGAAACCGGAAGGCGGAGGTTTCAGTGAGCGGAGATTGCTCCACTGCATTCCAGCCTGGGCAACAAGAGTGAAACTCTGTCTCAAACAAACAAACAAAAAAAGAATTGTAACACACTAATATGTTCAAGTAGAGGTGAAAGGGAAGGAGTCTGGAAGAAACTGATGGTGTTTAAACAGCTTCACAAACAGATTACCAGTGTCCCAAGTGAAGATTAGAAGGCTTGCTTTCTGCAGGTGACTCAAGCCAGCCCAGATGACCAAAGGGACTCAATGGAGGAGTAAAGTTAAGGGCCTTCTGGCAGCATCGAGGGGAAGTGGCAATGTGGTGAGGTAAAAATCAGAGCCAACTGAAAAAGCCTTCAAGTCCTTCATTAGTACTCTAGGAAAATGTCCTTCTTTCTGCAAAATATGACCCAATGTTTGAGAACTTTCTCTGACACATGAATAGGGAAGAATAAATGAAGAAAATGAATTTACTATCTTCCTTTCGGTAACATTTTAATATTCATATTTATTCTAATTAACATCTGTGTTATAAAGACACATAGTTTGGGAAGTATATAATGTGTTTCAGTACAAACATCCAATTTTAATACTAACCTCACATTTTAAATGTGTGTGTTTGTTGGGGGTAGAGATTACAATACATTGTTATAAACATAAGTATTAATGAAAGCCAACAAGTTTGAGTTAGGATATTTCAGTGAGAAAAAATATAAGTAAATAAAACACACAAAAAAATGCAAAACACACTGATGCCCATGCCTCTGCTTTGTCAGACGTGGATGAAATCCAAAACACATACCTCGTTAAACATGAAATAGATTCCGCTGCGGATGAGGATCATTATTTAAGTGATTTTTAATACTGTAGCTCACATTAAATCCTTAAGATTTTACAGAACTAGAGCTGGTGTTACATGTTCAGAGCATGTAAGGTAACTGAAAATAGTGTTATAAAATAATATCTTCTATTTGATTTTCAGTTTCTGTTGCTAATTTTAATCTAGCAAGAATAATAAGATTGCACCTACATGTTTAGACAGCATCTACTAAAGTTAAAAACTGTTTTAGTATTTTATTTTTATATTACATTTTATTTTAATTCTCACAATAGCCTCAATTATAGTAGCGCTATTGATTTTCTTTTTATAATTTACAAATGGCTATACCAAGACTCAGAGCTATTAAGAACTACCTTAGGTAACACAGTAGATGATGGAGCTATGTTAACATCCAAACCAACTTCAGAGACCATTGAAACTACCATTATCCATTGTGTGTTTATGATGTGCTTACTGGTTTGGAGGATTTCAGCATGATAGCTTATAAATTCTGGCGTAAAACTGATCCTCAACTATTTTATACTTCAAAGAGAGATTATACTATGATTAACAGAATGGAATAAAGACAGTAACATCAGAAATAAGAATACTTTGTAGATTCAGAAAGTGTTTTCTTTCTCATCTCCTTTAAAAAACATAACTAACTGAATAGATGTCCATAATTTAAAATGATACAATGACATCTCTATAAAATTTATTTATACACATCCTAAAACCAGTACAAGTACAGGAAGTTAGGTTAGGCACTTAACAGTTATAAATAGCATCAAGAAAGACAAAACAGGGAGAGAGAGGACAGAAAGTGAGAGAGAGATAATTTTAAGGAAGTAACTCTCATAAATTATGTAATTTTAAAATATCAGTTAAGTTATACAACAGCACATATCTTTTTTTTTTAGCTATGAAAGTGGGTTTTCGTTGGGTAACCATATCATTGATTTTTATTTCCTTATCAAAATTGCTCTAAGTAGATTAGAAATCTTGAGACATGAGCTTGTACTAATCTTGGTTTGGAGTGAATATTAATTGTTTAAACTCCGTGCTTTTCTTTTAAATAAAAGTATTTTGGTTAGTTTAAGAGTCATGATAAAATCAAGTATATCTTATTTTGCATTACTATTAATATCACCCCTTGGCTTGTATGTCAACGTAGATTCACTAAAATGTCTTCTATTGCATACAAAGCAAGAGTTGTTCAAACTCTTTACAGTGTTTGAGCTAAATGTGTCTTATGTATATAATATTTTAAAATGTGTTTCCCTGTATTCCAACAATATAAGGTAAAATTTTTAATTAAACAGTAATTTTTTAAAATAGATATTACACTGTTACTATTTGAAGGGAAATTTGAAACATTTTATGTATGGAAAATGGAAAGGTTTTATTAAAATAAATTGGTTATTAATACCTTGATGGAATCCTAGGCTTAAAACATTTGCAAGAAATGTCAATTCGGATTTTTTGTAATTATCTGTTCTATTTTAATGTCATAACTGAAATGGATCTTACAAACCTCTTAAAGCAATGGTACATGATAACAATGAATGTTTTTAGAATAATATTATTTCTAAGACACATTTGGAATGTGTACTTTCTCTCCTTATTAAGGAGAATGTTAAAAACAATTTTATATTTTAAATGTTGGCCCTAATTTGATGCCTTATTTACAAGCATATTTACTCATGTTCTTATGGGCATGCTAATAAGGATTGTATGCACGTACTAAATAAATATATATTTTCCACTATTATCTCAAAAGTGTTCTCAGTGATAAACTGGCTATGTATATCTGATCTTGTCATTTTAGTTGTCTTAGCCATAGTTTTACTTTTTAACATCAGCCTGCTGAACTAATTAATATCTATGATCTTTTTTCTTTTTTTTTTTTTTTTTTTTTTTTGGACCTGGCTCACTGCAGTCTCCGCATCCCAGGTTCAAACGATTCTCCTGTCTCAGCCTCTCCAGTGTCTGGGACTACAGGCACGAATCACCACCCTGGGCTAATTTTTGTATTTTTTAGCAGAGTTGGGGTTTTGCCATGTTGGCCAGGCTGGTCTTGACCTCCTGGCCTCAAGTAATCCACCGCCAGAGCCTCCCAAAGTGCTGGGATTACAGGCGTGAGCCCCTGTCCCCGGCTTCTACTGCCTTTCAAATCTACAAAAATATCCTGAAGACAAGATGGTAGTTGCTCGTTGTCATGTGGGAAGTTTACATTGTTTGGTGATAAATATTTATCTTCGTGAAGAGCCACAAATCCTGAAGTAAGAGAAACAACAAATGAATATAAAATAAGCAAACCACAATTAAGAAAAGGATTATCTTTGAGGCTAACAGGAATCTAATTTATTCTTTGACTTATTCGATTTTCTGTCTACATAGCTTAGCATGATCAAGTATATAACAGGAGTTTTGTGCCTGAATAAAGAAATGTATATTCTTTAAAATATTATATTCTTTATAATTATTTATTAGAATTTATATTCTAATTCTAAATTATTTATTTCTAATATTTATCCTGAACACAGTAGCATTTCTTAATTTTTAATCAAATTGATAAATGTACATAGTATCCAACAATAAATGGTATTCAAAGGCTATAAAAGTAGCCATGTCAAAACTGACCACATTCTACTTCCCAGCTCTGGTTCTTTGATAATCACTCTCACCTTCTTTTATTTTCTTTTGGTGTTCACTTCATTTTTCTAAAGCTTGGTTTATTATTATTTCTTTTCTTTCTTTCTTTTTTTTTTTTTTTTTGAGACAGAGTCTTGCTCTGTAGCCCAGGCTGGAATGCAGTGGCACAATCTCAGCTCACTGCAACCTCTGCCTCCTGGGTTCAAGTGATTCTCCTGCCTCAGCCTCCCAAGTAGCTGTGATTACAGGTGCCTGCCACTACGCCTGGCTAATTTTTTGTATTTTTAGTACAGACAGGTTTCCCCACGTTGGCCAGGCTGGTTTCAAACTCCTGACCTCAAATGATCCACCTGCCTCAGCCTTCCAAAGTGCTAGGATTAAAGGCGTGAGCCACTGTCCCTGGCAATTATTATTTCATCGTAATAACAATTAGCATTATCCATTACTTACTATAATATTAATAGTAAATGAAGAGTTACTTGTTTAATATTCTCCCTCCACTTTCTTTCCTTATTCTACTGATATTATTCTATTACTATTTTGTATTAAACCAGTCATCAATATTGCATATTATGAATATGTATATATTTTAAACAGCTGGTCCAGGAAGATTCTTTCTTATTTAATTAAAACTTTTCTCCTGGAGTTTATAATATCCTCCTTTTGTAGTTATCTTATTATACTCCTGTTTAAGTTCCTTTAACTACTGCAACAGATATATAAAAGACTTACTTAGATGTTATCTAAGAATTTAAAAGACCTGGATATTACATTAACTCCATTTATTTTCATAAAGATTTATCTCCTGGACTAGTCTCTCCACAAGCTTGCTGTAAAATAGCCATATGAGGACTCTCATTGCTTCTATTTTCAAAGTTGTTTTTTTTTTTTCCTGAACCCCATGTCTTTTTTTTGTTGTTTTTTCCAAGAGATTTTTTTATAGGATGGATAGTTTAGATATAGAATTCTAGATCATAAATCTCTTTTTCTCAGATGTTTGAAGGGATTTCTTATTTTTTTTCTGACTTTCTACTTTGCTGTTTATAGTCTGATTCCATTGTGATTCTTGATTTGTTATATATGATCCTTCATTTTTCCCCCTACATAAGAAGATCATAGGACGTGTATTTTTATTGTTTAGAAATATTAATGATGCTTTGAACTAACCTTTTATTTCTTGCATATGGTAAATAGTGTGAACTTTTAATCTAAAATCTTGCTTTTCAATATTGAATTTGTTCTTATATTTTTTCTTTGAAAATATTCTCTCCATTGTCTTCTCTGGTTTCCAACTGTGCAACTTCCATTATTTGGATATTGAACATTCTGGAATATACCCCATTAAAATATTTTTCTAATATTTTTATTTTTACTTCCTGAAACACTTTCTCAGTTTCATCTTTCATATTATAAGAACATTTAAATACATATTTTTAAATATCTTTCTTATTTTCCTTTATATATTTTTCTAGTTGTTATATTTCTCTTAACTTGCTAAGAACATTGCTTGCTTTCTCTTTTAAAATTTTCTTTAATTCCTAAATTGTCTGTTACCCTCCAATCTGCCAGACTCTCTTAGGCAGTTTCATTTATTTGTTTTGGTCTCTCTAACATTAAAGCCTTTCTTCAGGATATCTGACATCTCTGACTTTAACTCCCAAATTCATGCAATAAAAAGTCAACTGACAACATTGTATGTGTGTTTGTGTGAGTGTGTGTGTGTGTGTGTGTGTGGTCTTCTGAATGCTGGACTTCAATGAATGGTTACCTGGTGGATGAAATGCCAGGATTTTTTTTTTTTTTTTCAAGAAATCCAGTAGTTGGAATGCATTTTTCTGGGACATCTCAGGTTCCATACAAAAACTTTTATAGCCACCTGCTTCATAAAGGTGGGTGGATATCTAGAAGCAGTGAGAGCTGGCAAACTTAATTTTCAGTATACTGACAACTAAACACAAAGACTGAGTTTGGAGACTAAACTAATTCCTATGCAAACTTTGCCTCAGACATGAGTCTCATTCTCATGTTCCATTCTACCTGGGATTTTTGAGTATTTAACCAGCATAATTCTTCAGATTTACTTTTGACTCATGTACTATTGGATCTTTTAAAAAGATTCTTGTTAACAGATAAGATTGTATTATAAGTTTATCACCAGATTCTCCCTCTTTCTAGAAAACAGAACCCTTTCTTATTTTTTGAGACTTTCTAGGAGTTTAATGTTGTTTCAGTTAGAATTCCTCTATAAAACAAATAGCACACTTAAAGTGGGTAAAAGGAGGAGAGTTGGAAAGAAGATCTCTCCACAATGGTGTGGGAAGGAACAATGTAGAGTAACCACAAGGGATCATAAAGTATTCCAATGGTTTGTGTATTAGGTCATTCTTACATTGCTATCAAGAAATACTTGAGACTGGATAATTTATAAAGAAGAGGTTCAACTGGCCCATGTGAGAAACAAACGCACTTGTCCAAACCCAAAGAATGGACTCAGAGACCTGGAAAATAGCAAAAGTGAGACTTTTAATGATGGTCTTGCAAGGTTAGGGGTCTGATGAGCAGGAACACCCAGTACCGGTTTTTTTTTTTATTTTAATTTTTTTTGTTATACTTTAAGTTTTGGGGTACATGTGCAGAATGTGCAGGGTTATTACATAGGTATACATGTGCCATGGTGGTTTGCTGCACCCATCAACCTGCCATCTACATTAGATATTTCTTCTAATGCTATCTCTCCCCCTCACCCCCCAACAAGCCCCGATGTTCCCCTCCCTGTGTCCACGTGTCCTCATGGCTCAACTCCCACTTATGAGTGAGAACATGTGGTGGTTGGTTTCCTGTTCTTGTGTTAGTTTGCTGAGAATGATGGTTTCCGGCATCATCCATGTCCCTACAAAGGACATGAACTCATCCTTTTTTATGGCTGCATATAGCCCATGGTGTATATTTGCCACATTTTCTTTATCCAGTCTATCACTGATGGGCATTTGGGTTGGCTCCAAGTCTTTGCTATTGTGAACAGTGCCACAATAAACATACGTGTGCATGTGTCTTTATAGTAGAATGATTTATAATCCTTTGGGTACATACCCAGTAATGAGATTGCTGGGTCCATGGTATTTTTAGTTCTAGATATTTGAGGAATCACCACACTGTCTTCCACAATGGTTTAACTAATTTACACTGCCACCAACAGTGTTCCTATTTCTTCACATCCTCTGCAGCATCTGTTTTTTCCTGACATTTTGATGATCACCATTCTAATTGGCGTGAGATGGTATCTCATTGTGGTTTTGATTTGCATTGCTCTAATGACCAGTGATGATGAGGTTTCTTTTATATGTTTGTTGGCTGCATAAATGTCTTCTTTTGAGAAGCGCCTGTTCATATCCTTCACCTACTTTTTGATGGGGTTGTTTTTCATTCACAATTGCTACAAAGAGAATAAAATACCTAGGAATACAACTTACAAGGGATGTAAAGGACCTCTTCAAGGAGAGCTACAAACCACTGCTCAAGGAAATAAGAGAGGACACAAACAAATCGGAAAACATTCCATGTACATAGATAGGAAGAATCAATATCATCAAAATGGCCATACTGCCCAAAGTAATTTATAGATTCAATGATCCCGATCAAGCTACCCCTGACTTTCTTCAAAAGAATTGGAAAAAAACTACTTTAAATTTCATATGGAACCAAAAAAGAGCCCACATAGCCAAGACAATCCTAAGCAAAAAGAACAAAGCCAGAGACATCATGTTACCAGACTTCAAATGTACTACAAGGCCACAGTAACAAAAACGGCATGGTACTGGTACCAAAACAGATATATAGACCAATGGAACAGAACAGAGGCCTCAGAAATAATGACACATATCTACAACCATCTGATCTCTGACAAACCTGACAAAAACAAGCAATGGGGAAAGGATTCCCTATTTAATAAATAGTGTTGGAAAAACTGGCTAGCCATATGCAGAAAGCTGAAACTGGACCCTTTCCTTACACCTTATATAAAAATTAACTCAAGATGGATTAAAGACTTAAATGTAAGACCTAAAACCATAAAAACCCTAGAATAAAACCTAGGCAATTCCATTCAGGACATAGGCATGGGCAATTACTTCATGACTAAGACACCAAAAGCAATGACAACAAAAGCCAAAATAGACAAATGGAATCTGATTAAACTAAAGAGCTTCTGCACAGCAAAAGAAACTACCATCAGAGTGAACAGGCAACCTATGGAATGGCAGAAAATTTTTGCCATCTATCCATCTGACAAAGGGCTAATATCCAGAATCTACAAAGAACCCAGCACAGTTTTTAACAAGCATTTTATCCCCTAGTGTGCAAGTCCCTTTCCAGGTTCCTCATAGCCTGAGTACTATGGGGTCACAGTCTTCCCGGACATCACCTATTGGTTGTTGGGTAGGGGCTTTAGGTGTTCTTTTTAGGGTTGTTTTGCTGCATTTTGTTGCAGCCCACAATGCATTGCAATCCTAGTTAGCTCAGGGGCTTTTTATATATTTGACTTATGACCTAAGTACCTGGGCAGGCTGATAAGAATGGACAAAACAAGCTATTTTGCGGGCTAGTAAACTTTTATCTTAGACGACTTTTTTGGTTCAGGTGAGCCAACTAAAGGTGGGGTGGGGGGCAGTGAGTCCAACAAGCAGGCATTGGCTATCCACGCAAGGGCCTAGTACATTCTATTTCTTTTGCAGTTTGCTGACCTAAGCCGATTTAAGGCACTTTGTCTTGGAAATGGACCACTGTATACATTATTTCCTTCAGCCATGGTTCTGCAAGCTACACAGGAAGCATAGTGACATCTGCTTCTGAGAGGCCTCTGGAAGCTTACATTCATGATGGGAGGCCAAACCGGAGCTTTCATATCACACGGTAAAAGCAGCAGCAAGACAGCAAGCAGGGAGGTGCCACATACTTTTAAACAACCAGATCTCTCAAGGACTCACTATCACGAGGACGTCACCCAGGGGATGGTGCTAGCCCATTCATGAGAAACCACCCCCATGATCCAATCACCTCCCGCTAGACCCCACCTCCGACACTGGGGATTACATTTCAGCATGAGATTTGAACAGAGACACGTATGTAAACTATGTCAGTTGATGATAATACAGAACAATATTTATAAGCATGGAACTCTTAATATTATTAAGAATGACATTGGAAAGTTATATTTTCTAAATATCTTTGTAACTAAAAAACTGTTTTTCTAGATTGTTAACTCCATGTAAATCCATTACTATTCCCAAATATTTATTACTGATATTGTACATACCTACACATTAGTATGGATTCTGATAGAGACCAAGTCTCTATTTCATTTAGATATGGTCCATTCTAAGAATACACAGTATGTCCTGGAGCATTTAAACATATCATATGGTTTTCATGGGAAAAAAATATTTGGAGCTGATCTTCATATTTCCATGTTAGAACTAAGTGTATTGAAACACACAATCTAAGGAACTACTTAGGTGAGTTTTCCAAGACCAAATACTAGTGTCAGGGTAACTATTTGAGCTACAGTTTTTTCAATAACTGTTGGGATAGGCAAAATTTCTAACTGGTCCTGTGAAATTTTTATTCCCGGTGCGTATTCTCTGTATAGTATCCTCCCTTTGAGTGCAGAAAGAACCTGTAAATATAATGGAATATCATTCCTCTACTCAAGTTACTAAACAGTTGACTTTAATTTTATCAAAATGGACATTATCCAGGTGAGTCTGACATAATCAGGTAAGTCTTTAAAGAGTACGGACACCCACCTGAAGTCAGTTTGCGGCTGATTATGAAGACACGCCCTCTAGGGATTCCACAGTTACATGTGAGGAAGTAAATCTGTCAAGAGCCACAGGAGCCTGGAAAAGAACCCTGGGCCTAAAATGAAATCACACCCCAGCCTGACACATCAATTTCAGCCTGGTGAGGCCTGGAGGGAAGGACTAAGCTAACCCATATCTGGGCTCCTTATTATTGGAAACTGTGACAATAAACTTGTATTTTTTAAACTTTTAAGTCTCTAGCATTTGTTGAGTAGCCAAAGAAAACTGATGCACTAAGCACAAAAAACAAAGCTGGAGGCATCATCACATGACGTGACTTCAAACTATACTACAAGACTACAGTAAAACTCTGGAAGATAACCTGGGAAATACTGTTTTGGCCGTAGGACCTGGCAATGATTTCATGATGAAGATGCCAAAAGCCATTACATCAAAAACAGGAATTGAAAAATGCGACCCAATTAAACTTGAGAGCTTCCATACACCAAAAGAAGCTATTGACTGAGTAAACAGAAAACCTACGGAATGGGAAAAATATTTGCAAACCATGCATCTGACAAAGGTGTAATATCTAGCATCTATAAGGAACTTAAACAAATTTACAAGAAAATACCAAACAACCTCATTAAAAAGTGGACAAAGGACATGAAGAGACATTTTCAAAAGAAAACATACATGCAGCTAACAAGCATATGAAAAAATGCTCAACATACTAATCATTAGAGAAATGCAATCAATACCACAATGAGATACCTTCTCACACCATTCAGAATGGCCACTACTAAATGTCAGAAAAATAACAGATTCTGTATTGTGGAGAAAAAAGAATGCTTATACACTGCTGATGGGAATGTAAATTAGTTCAGCCACTGTGGAAAGGAGTTTGGTGATTTTTCAAAGAACTTAAAATAGAATTACCGTTCATCTCAACAATCCCATTATTAGGTGTATACCCAAAGGAAAATAAACTGTTCTACCATAAAGACACATGCATGTGTACGTTCATTGCAGCACTAATCACAATAGTGAAGACGTGGAATCAATCTTCATGCCCATCAACAGTAGACTGAATTAAAAAATGTGGTACATATACATAATAGAATACTATGCAGCTATGAAAAAGAATGAGATCATGTTCTTTGTAGCAACATGGATAGAGCTGGAAGCCATTATCTTAAGCCAACTAAAACAGGAACGGAAAACCGAATACTGCATATTCTCACTTATGAGTGGGAGTTAAACTTTGAATACATGTGGACACAAAGAGAAGGGAACAATAGTCACTGGGGCCTACTTAAGGGTGGAGGCTGGGAGAAGGGTGAAGATAGAGAAACTACCTATCAGGTGTAATGCTTATTACCTGGGTGACAAAATGATATATACACCAAACCCCCACAACACTCAAATTACATATATAAAAAAACCTGCACGTGTACCCCGAATGTAAAATAAAAGTTTAAAAAAGAAAATGATGTGCAAGTCTAGATAGCTCTCATTCTATGATAATTCAGTGCTTCCTATATGTCATTTTTTGTAAATATTCAATTCTTCTGACACATATCTAGATAGATTTGTATACAATAATGTAAAATATTTTTCTATAGCTAATCAGTTTCTATTTATCTAGATTGCAAGTAACACCTTTGAACACAAAATATCAAATAACTCATTAATTTTCTTAAGTTTATCTTATTTTTAATTGACACATAATATCTGTGCAACATGTGCCATGTTGATACATGTATACATTGTATAATCATCAAATCATGGTGGTTAGCAAATCCATCAGCTCAACCATTTAACATTTCTTTGTAGTGAGAACATTCAAAGTCCTTTTTTCTAGCTATTTTGAAATATGCAATACACTATTATTAACAAAGAAGTCACCCTACTGTCCAATAGAACATTAGAGCTTGTTCCTCCTATCTAACTGTAACTTTTAACCATTGACCAACCTCTTCCTGCCCTCCTTTCCCCTTTTCCTTCCAGCCTCTGCTAAGCACCTTTCTATTCTATACTTCTATGAAATCAGCTTTTAAGATTTTACATAGGAGGGAGATGATGAGGTATTTGTCTGTCCGGCTTATTTCACTTAACATAATGTTCTCTAGATTCATCCATTGTGTCACAAATGACAGGATTTCATTCTTTTTTAATGGAGAAATAGCATTCTATTGTGTATATATACCACATTTTCTTTATGTATTTGTTGCTGAATACTTAGGTTGATGTCATATCTTGGTTTGAGGGAATAATGCTGTAATAAATATGGGAGTCTAGATATCTCTTCAGCACACTGATTTCATTTTCTTTGAATATATACCCAGTAGTAGGATTGCTGGATTATATAGTATTCTATTTTTAAGTTTTTGTGGAACCTCCACACTGTTTCCATAGTAGCTGTACTACTTGGCATTCCACTAACAATGTGTAAGGGCTCTCCACATCACTGCAACACTTGTTATCTTTTGTCATTTTAATAGGCATTCTAACTGGAATAAAATGACATCTTATTGTGGTTTTGATTTGCATTTCCCTGATGATGTTCAGCATCTATTCATAAACCGATTGGCCAATGTCAAGAAGAATTTCCCGTATGTTTTCTCCTAGTAGTTTCACAGTTTCATGTCTTACATTTAAGTCTTTACTCCATTTTTAGTCAATTTTTGCATAACTTACTGATTTTAGAAGTGCTCTGTACGGGACTATTGCCTAAGATGTGGAAGCTCAAACAATCAGCCGGCTTCCTACCGGTAACATTAGAGCATTCACTTTCCATATAAAAGTGCAAGATGACAAATATAGATCTAGAAAAACAAACTTTATTTTATTCCCATGAAAGGTATACTCTGTGGCATGCATTTATTTGTACATACCTACACATTAGTATGCATTCTCTGAATATAGTAATGTATAAAATAAGTTTACATAAACACAGTTTTTTGAGGCTTTTTTCTCTGGCCTGACTTCTAACTAAACACCCCCCACCATGAACACTATTAAAGTGTGATGGAAAGCTAATGTTCAGCTGAAGTAAAGATAACTTAAAGTATACCATTCTTATAGCCTTATTGATGTCAATGAAAGACTGAAAATGTTTTCTGCAAGTGTGAATTTTAAAACATATTTACATGTACCTATAAATCAAGTTACTATAGTTTTTCTGAAAAAAAGGAAAAAAAAACTGAATTTTAATTTACATGAATATAACAGAATTGATGGGGGGAAAAAACTATTTCACCAAGGTGAAAAAACTACTTAAGACAAATAATGAAGGAGGAAGAAACAAGGGAAAGCAAAATGTGAGGATAATTTTAAACACGGATCTATACACACAGTTTTATAAAATATCACGACAGCTTAAAAGGAAGACATTCAATGATTGTGGTTTTCTTGTTGTTATTGTTCTGTATTGACTGCATCCTGACACTGCTTGTGCTTTTCGTGTTAACCTGAACAAAGTGTCTGAAGCACATTTACTATTAAATAGTGGGATGTAATGAAGTGCTTTATATAGGTTTTTAATTTCAATTTGTAAAAAAGTTTAAAGATACAGAAAATTTGAAAGAATTATACAATATATTCTGGTACATACTCTCTCTCTCTCTCTCTCTTTCTTTGCATGTTTTAAAATTAAAGTTGCAGTCATCAAGACTCCTTGTCCCCAAATACTTCAGCAGGCATCTCCTAAGAACAGTGGTAATATACCATTACTATATCCCAAATATTTATTACTGATATGGTATTATAATATTACCTAATGTATAAGTACATAATCAAGTTTTCCTAATTGTACCCAAGATGTCCTTCATAGCTTTTTTTCAAATCTAGAGACCAATTAAAAATCATATATGGTACTGAGGTTTTACGCTTCTTTAGTCTCCTTAATCAGAGCATTTTCCTGTCTGTGTTTATGTTTTAGATTATTGACATATTTGAGTAATCTGGGTGAGTTGTTTACTAGTATCTTCCACTATTAGTATTTTCTAATAATTGTTTTGATACAACTCAGTGTTTTGTTTTGTTTTTGCAAGAATGCTGTAGAACTTGTGTTTTTAATATCCATTCCATGGTTAAATCAGTAAATATTGTCATTTTCCCAAAATGAATTACTTGATTCAGGTGGTTTCTGTGAAAACACTCCATTACCAAGGTACGCCTTTCCCTTGATTAATAAGAAGCATTAGTTACTACTTGGGTGATGCAAGCCTCAACAACATGTAATTTGTCCATGTAACAAACCTGCACACGTACACCGTGAAACTAAAATAAAGGTGGAAAAAACAAATAAATAAAATAAATGCTCTTCAGCTGTTCAGGGAGGATTAACAAGCACTGGTCTAAAATGAAAACATAGGGGTAGGTGGGGGGTGGACAGGTAATGGTTGGTATGAATCTCTGGACCTCTAGACCTCCTTTCCCCACAAACTTTCCCCACAATTATTTTGACAAGGACTGAGGATCCTTGTCAAAGTTAATTATTTCATTGAGAATTTAAAATGGCTGTTTTCTGTGTTATAACTTCTTTCACATTTATTGGGAAGTTCAGTTAAAAGATCCTTACATTAATTCTCTCTCTCTTTAAAACTCTCATTTAAAAATCCATTAATGTAATTCACCATATTAATTGATATAAAAAGAGAAAAATAATATGATCACCCCATAACTGCTAAAAAGACCTTCCTTTAACAAAATTTAATACCCATTCCCTAATAAGATAAAAATTAATGAATACTTTCTTAATATGATAACATATATTAAACTAGAAAGAACTTAGACTATTACACTTAGAAGATCTGGTTTCAGTGTCAGAAGGCTCTGAATTGGCTCCAGTCCCAAAATTTACTTTCTCTGTGACTTTCTGTACCTCAATTACTTCATCCATGAGTTGAGTTAATAGAGTTTGGCCCATTACATGGTGCATAGGTAATATTCCATAAATACTAACCAATATAATTCCTTTAGGTATAATTACTATTTTTTTCTTCAGTAATTACTTAACAGAAGGCATAATAATAAAGTGCTTGATCAAATTAATAATCTTCATTTTCACGTAAAAATATTTCACAAAGATAATTATACTTTTTGAAATATAACAGTAAACAATGCATTGAGAGATTTTAAAACTCCATCTCAAACCCTCCTTGAGCAAGGAATACCTGGCTTTCCTTTGAAAAATAGGAATTGAGAAAGGAATACGAATAGGAATAGGAATTGGCTCAAATCTGAGCCTTGGACACAGACTGGAGTTGCTGCAGCTGGGTTTCCGTTTACACTGCCAGGGTATGGCTTAAGACTTGATTATACACCTCCTGCTTCACTAAGATGGTAAATAGGGAAAAGCAGTGCAAAGATGGTAATGGAGTAGAAATGGACATTCTGGTGCCCTGTGGAATTCACACATAATGATGGAGGGAAATGTTCTAGGAGTCATTAGAATCTTCTGTTTTGTGGCCAGGAGTGACTTTATGAGAAGACTGCTGTTGGGACTGGGGACATTTTATCTTTTTCTTTCTGGTCATCTATGCAGAAAAGGGGTCTCTTTTCTTTCATAGATGCTTTATGCTACAATATGAAAATCACATAAGGTAACTTTATTTTAAAGTGAAAAATTTATTAGTTAATAGTAAAAGAAAAACGTAAAGAAATGTTGTATAAATAGTATAATGAAAGCTATACCCTTATTACTTACATTAAAATAATGCTATCAATTAGCAGTTTTTAGAAGTAGAATTAAAATTAACATGCTACATTTAGTTGTTTTATCACTTTTTCCAAATTGTTTTTATTTGCAAGTAATGTGAAAATAATAAAATATAGATGTAAGTGTCTAGTTTGATGGGTTTTGGCAAATGCATATCCTCATGTAATCTAAGCCCTAAAAATAAAGGACATTTAAATCATCCCAGCCAGTTCCTTGGTTTCCACCATTATAGCTGGACTTTATTAAGCTTTATACAGAGAACTCACTACATGCATTTATTAAATGACCAGTTTGTTTTTTTTTTTTCATTTTTTTATTCACACATTAATTTCATCTGAGACTAGGAGACAGTTTATTTTTTTTTTTCTTCAAAAACTTTAACCTATTTTTTTCTATTATACCAGCTAGGAACTTATATAATATTTATACAAGTTGAGATAGTGGTTGTGCTTTTCTTCATAATGATATCACAAAGAAAGCATTCAATATTCACTATTGAATGAGATAATAGTTGTTTAATTTTGGTAGATATTCTTACACAAGCAATAGCTTTTACTTATGTTTTGCTGACATTTGTTATCCATAGCTAGTTATGGTATTTGATAAAATATTCAATTATTTTATCAAAATTAAAAAATTTATCCCACAAGATGATGATGGTCTTTTTATTCCATTTTCTTGTTAATGTGACTAGTTATAGTGATATTCAATAGAAAATTTTGCCTTACAAAATAAATCACATTATTTGATTTGTATGTAACCAGATCTTATCTGCTATTTTGTATAGAATGTTTATATCTATTTTCATTATAGCGATTGGCCTGTACTTGTCTTTCTTGTACTATCCTTTGTAGATGTTAGTATCAAGCTTAACTTTACCTCATACAATGAATAAAAAAGTGTACCCTCTTTCTCTGCATTCTGAAAGAATCTGTAAGACTCATCATTTCATTCCTAAATATTTTGAAAAATTACCAGTTAGCCCGTTTCTTCCTGGAATTTTCTTTGTTGGATAATCTGAATTTAAAACAGAAATATGTTATTTGCCGATAAAAACTATTCAGATAGTCTTATGTCAGGATTGATAAATTATGTTTCAACAAGTGTTCCATTCATGTAGGCTTTAAAAATAACTGACATAAAGTTGCACATATATATTGTTGCTATTCTATTAATTCTATTATTAGTTGCAGGATCTATAATAAAACCCCCTTTTAATTCATAAGATTATTTTTTCTTTGTTAACGTTCAGCAAAATTCTAAAAACTAAAAAGGGGAATGATGGCATAGAGCTACTAAGTCAGGCCAGAAATCCTGCCAATGAACTTTATTTCATGGTAGGGCCCAGAGAACATTCTGTTTACCAAAAGGTGTGTGATGAGCTGGTGAGAAGGGTAGCACCATCTTTAATTCTCTAATCCCAGGGTTGTGGCAGGAAATCATGTCAGTATTAAAGATTTAAAAATCCAATAGTGGTTCATGACCCCACTTAATTTACTAGTCAAATTTCTAAAAAACAGCAGGATTAACAGTAGACTATTACAAAATTACTAATAAGTAGCCCCACTGTTGTTATGATGCAGATATTGTATTTTTGCTAGACCAGGTTAATATGACTTTGTATAATCTTTCTTCACAAAGTCCTCACGTTTCAGAAACATTAACTATGAAGCATTGTCTCCTGACAGTAGTATTGCAGTACAAGACAGGGGATTCAAAATCTAAGTAGTTGAGGGTTTTTATATAGTCATTCACTAAATTATTAATTAAGATGTATATCTATATCTATATGTTTTCCACACTCTTGAATATATGCAAAATTTTACTAATAAAGCATTAAAATATTAAAAAAAAATAAAATATTAAGTCCAATGACTAACAGTTAGTAAGCAATAAATGTTTCTTTAGTGTTTACTATTTTTCATCTCTTTAAAAAATATATTTACATATAGATAAATACAGTAAATGCATATATGTTACGTGTGTGTGTGTGCAACTGACTAAACTGTCATTAGAATGAAAATTTAAATAATAACTTATTTGTACTTTTTGAAGAATGACTTTTTTTGTAGCCAATACTATCTAGTTCTAAACAAAAAAATAATTACTATGATACATACAATCTAAATTTTCTTAGAGATCATATTTTATATATGTAACCCCCTTTTAACCCTTTCATAAAACATACCATGGGTTATCATCATAATTAAACAAGATACAAAGATTATAATTAATTTTGTGGCACCCTTGTGCAATATAGAGAAAATGAGATAATTATTAAATAGGTGAGTTATAAATGGATAGGGACTTGTGAAACGTTTATTACTGAAAATACATTATTCACATCCACAAATAATGCTTCTGTGGGATGTTATACAGGAATGGAAAATAACCTTGTTATGAGGTGTCACATACCTCAATGGCCTTTTTTAGAATAGGATTTTGTCTGTAATTTAATGAAAGGTCACTTGTGACCTGGGTGTGCAATCTCCGCTCTTCACATGATGAACCTCTTTCTGAAGCTATGTCTGTTCAGTTGATGATAGAACAGTTCTTATGGAAGTCCAAAAATAACACTCAGCTGAATGCACATGGCCTGGATGAACTATATTGGATATAACTGGCAGAGATTCAGAAGAATCAATTGCTCTGATTTAACCACTCAGTAAATGGACCGAAGCTGATGGTCTAAATTGAAAGTAATAGTTGGAGTGTTCTGTGATAGCTCTGCTTCAGAGCATGTAAGACAACTTCACTGAACACTTTGAGCACCAGATGATTACATCTCAAAATTCAGTTAATATCTTCCTGAGCAATCTATGCAATTTCTATATCACATTTCCCCACACAAATGCATTTTCACACTTTGTATAACTAATTGGACCATTGTTACTGGTGCTTTGTCAAAAACACCATCATGATGAGAAAAAACGCTTCTAGCAAAAACAATTACTACAATAATTATAGCCTAGCATAATAATAACCTCTTCTGTTTTATATCTCCATGCCTAGACTCCAAATTGTCATATATGTTTATCATTCTGATGTTAGCTGACCTATACCAACAGATGAGAAAGTAGCAAGGACACTTTCTAGTATACTTTCATTTTTATTCATACTTAGTGATATATTTAATGTAAACATGAATTTTTAGTTGGGTAATTTGGTACATATAAGTTAAATGACATGTGATTTATCTTTATTAACCATTTCTCTTTCAATTTACATGTAAAAATAACTTTATGAACTTGTTCAAATACTTTTCTTATATCAATCATGTTGATTATTTTTACTATGATATATATAAATATACACTTCCCCAAATATAAAAGAAAGTTATATTTTTTCACTTTAGTGTTTGGAAAAAAGATGTATTTTTTTGAACAATTTACAGAGAAACCTCAAAGATATTGCAAGTTTGGTTCCAGAAAACCACAGTAAGCAAATATTGCAATAAAGCAAGTAACATGAATTTTTTTCATTTCCCAGTTTATATAAAAGCTGTGTTTACGCTATACTATTGTCTATATAGTGTTGTCAGGAAACAGAAAATCTGAAAGAAAAATGTGTAAAGTGACCTGAGATGGTTGCAGTTTGGACATATGGGTAATAGAAACGAGGCCTATGAACTAAAGCTGAACTCTCACCTGTATGGCTGGAGTCTGTCAAATATTTCACTGGCATGTACTGATTACAACCTTGCCTATCAGACAAGCACAGTCAGGATAGAATCAATCATCCATCTCCAGACCCTAAGACACCTGCATGTTTGTTTACCCTGTATACATTCACCACATATTTGCTTATCTTATATACTTGCATCACTGAGCACCAATCAAAACTGTAAGAATATCACCTTTGTTTCACTACCCCCTTCTCCTATCTTCTATGTAATATAACCTATAAATACTGTGTCTTGTGTAGTCCACTGTGGGTACTCTCTTGGTTTGCACTGGGTCTATGTTCCCAAGACTGTTAGTCCCCAAACTTCACTCAGAATAAAATTAACCTCAAATTTTCTTTAAGTTATAATGGCAGTTAGTTAACCTTACCATCAATAGTGTGCAATAACATTATGTCTAAAAAAGCAATGTACATAACTTAATTTAAAATAACTCTCATCTGAGCCTTCAGCGAGTTATACATTTTTTGCTGGTGGAGGCTCTTGACTTCATACTGATGTCTGCTGACTGATGAGGGTAGTGGTTGTTGAAGGTTGAGATGGCAGTGGCAATTTCTCAAAACAAGATGATGAGGTTTGCCTCTTTGACTCTTCCTTTCAAGAAAAATTTCTCTATTGCATTCAATGTTGTTTGATAGCACTTTACCTATAGTAGAAATTCTTTTGAAATTATAGCCAATCCTCTCAAACCCTGCTGCTGTTTAATCAACTAATATATAGTATTCTAAGTCCTTTGTTGTCATTACAAGAACGTTCACCAGGTTCCTGGTGAAGATTACAAGTATCTTCACCAGGAGTAAGTTCCAACTCAATACATTGCTTAATACATTGCTTTTTTTTTTTTTTGCTCATGTGTAAGGCAACTTCTCATTCATTAAAGTTTATCATGAGATTGCAACAATTTTCATCTTCAGGCTCCACTTCTACTTCTCTTGCTATTTCCATCATATCTGCAGTTAGTTCCTCTACTGAAGTTTTTAATTCCTCAAAATCATCCATGGGGTTTGAAATCAACTTCTTATAAACTCCTATTAATGTTGATATTTTAGCCTCCTCCCATAAATCACGAATATTCTGAATGGTATCTAGAATGATGACTCTATTACAGAGTTTTTTTCAATTTACTTTACCCAGATACATCAGAAGAATCATTGTCTATGGAAGCTATAGCCTTACAAAATATATTTCTGAAAATCATAAGACTTGAAAGTCAAAATTAATCCTTGATCTAGGGGCTGCAGAATGGATATTGTTTTAGCAGGCATGAAAACATTAATCTTGTACATTTCCATCAGAGCTCTTGGGTGACAGGTGCATTGTTTTAATGAGCAGTAATATTTTGCAAAGAATATTTTGTTCTGAGAAGTAGGTCTTAATAGTGGGTATAAAATATTCAGTAACTCATGCTGTAAACAGATATGATGTCATCCAGGATTTGTTGTTTTATTTATAGAGCACAGGCAAAGTACATTTAGCATAATTCTTAAGGGCCCTAGGATTCTTGGAATGGGAAACGAGCATTGGCTTCAACTTAAAATCACCAACCAGCTGCATTAGTCTTTAACAATAGAGTCAGACTGCCTTTGAAGCTTTGAAGCCAGGCATGACTTTTCCTCTCTAGGTATGTGATATGGTCTGGCTCTGTGTCCCCACCCAAACCTCATCTTAAATTTTAATCTGAATTGTAATCCCCACGTGTTGAGGGAAGGACCTCGTGGGAGGTGATTAGATCATGGGTGTGATTCCCCATGCTGTTCTTATGATAGTGAGTGAGTTCTCAGAAGAGTTTATGGTTTTATAAGGGGCTTTTTCCCCCCTCACTCTGCACTTCTTCTTCCTGCCACCTTGTGAAAAAGGTGCCTTGCTTCCCCTTTGTCTTCTGTCATGATTGTAAGTTTCCTGAGGCTTCCCGAGCTATGCACAACTGTGAGTCAATTAAAACTCTTTCCTTCATAAATTACCCAGACTTGGGTATTTCTTTATAGCAGCATGAGAATGGACTAATACAGTATGACTATCCAAATGGCATCTTCTTCCAATATAAACTTGTTTCATCCACACTGAAAATCCAGTGTTTAGTGTAGCTGCCTTCATACATTAGCTGGATTTTCTAGATAGCTTCCTGCAGCTGCTACATCAACCCTTGCTGCTTCATGTTACATTTTTATGTCATTAAGATGGCTTCTTTCCCAAAACCTTGTGAACCAACCTCTGCTAGCTTCAAAATTTTTTTCTGCAGCTTCCTCACCTCCGTCAGTCTTCAAAGAATTGAGAAAATTTAGGGCTTTGTTCTACATTAGGTTTTGGCTTCAGGAAATGTTGTAGCTCATTTGATATTCTGTTCAGACCACAAAAAAAAATTATATCAGCATTAAGACTGATTTAATTTATTATCATTTGTATTTCCACTGGAGTAACAATTTTAATTTCCTCCAAGAACTTTTCCTTTGTATTTACAACTTGGCTCACTTATGTGAAAGGCCTAGCTTTCAGACTCTCTTGGCTTTCAATATATCTTCATCTTCAATCATTTCTAGCTTTTGATTTGATTTGTGAGATGTGTGAGTCTTCTTTTCACTTGAACACTTAGAGAATTATGAATTGTTATTGTTGTGTCTCAGGGAATAAGGAGGCCTAAGGAGAGAGAGCGAGCTAGAGGAATGGCCAATTGGTAGAGCAGTCAGAACACACACAACATTTATTGATTAAGTTCATCATTTTATATGGCTGTGGTTTGTGGTACCCCAAAAACAAAAACAATTGCAATAGTAACGTCATGGATCACTAGTCCAAATAATCATAACATATATAATAATAATTTAAATGTTAGAAGTGTTGTGAGAACTAGAAAAATATGCCACAAACACATAAAGTGAGTTCATGCTGCTGGAAAAACGGTGCTGATACCTTGCTGGAACCAGGGCTGCCACAAACCTTGAATTTGTAAGAAATGTACTATCTGCAAAGTGCAATAAAGCAAAGCACAATGAAATGAGATATGCCTGTATATATAAGTGATTATTAAGTTTATTAAGTGCATCAAATTTCGTAACAGTGCTTTAGAATCAAGAGAACATGATATGCTTAACTGACTGCAAAAATTTCCATGTGACAGGCATATTTTTTCTGGGTCTTTGCTGTATATCTGTTCAATATGTAGCAGATACCCAATAGGTATTTGTTAAACACTAAATAGATAAAGAAGGAAGGAGAAAATAATAACTGATATTTCAGATTCAGTAAATGTAATAGTTGGAAGTTCCAGAGGGCAGAACTAGCCCGATTTATTTATTCAGTGGGGTCTTTGATTACCTAATAGGCAGCTGACTCTGCTTAGAAGTGAGGCTGCAAAGGTGAATATAACAAGTCCCTGAACTAAGGTATCTTCAATTAAATGGTCAAGACAAGTATTCATAAAGAATGATTATGGTGTAACACATTAATTTATGAAAAGGTAAAGATAAAAATAAATAATAGGTTGTGGAAGAGAGTTTGAAGAGTGTTAGCTGGGATAGGAAGAGAGGGTGAATCTTTTGGATCAAGGATGTGACAAATGTAAAAACACTGAAAAGGGAAAAAGCATAGCCAAAATGAGTCACAATAATTGTCTTGGAATGTCTAAAACACATAGACGGGATTGACTAACCAAAAGGGATAAGAGGGAAATTATAAAACACCTATGTGCAAACAAGGGATATAAAATGTATTCTCACTCCTTTTTGATATCCCTTTTGGTTAATTTAGATATGTAGCTAATGACTAGTTGGTAAATTTTAGGACAAAAAAATAATGTTCTAGGAAATGGACTTGACCAAAGACAGAATGGACAACTACCAAGGAAGGTTAAAACTTTCCACCGACTTACAATATTTCATCTATAGTTGACAAACACTCCTGTAACTATAGCATATTTGAAAAAGATAATACCTAAATTCCCTTTCACCTTAACATCTTAAATTTTTATCATCCCCCCAAGTTTCTAAGATATATTTTGAAAATGTTTGCAACAATGTCTTATGCTAAACGTTCTAGTGAAAATTCATAACCATATGAGTAGTCACTATTATATGAAATAAAGAAAATTACAATATTTATGAACTTTCTAAGGTGTACAATGTTGTAAAAAACTTCCTTTGATTTTTTTTTGTTAAAATATTACAGCATTTTACATTTAACAAAATGTTCTGAAATAATGTGAAAAGCACATAAGGTTACAAGCGTGGATCTGTCTTCTTCTTGACTGAAACAAACCCTTAATTATTGTATAAAGACTTTTTTCCCTTTAGGAAGTTTGCTTTTGGCTATGACGAGGTGGATTGCAAACTGTGAGAGATATTTTTTTATTTTCTTCTAATCTCTAAAGATAGTAGTTCTGCGTAGAACCGTGTAGATTTATCAAAGTTATTAAATAGCTTGGCTGAGTTATCCCTTTATTTGTATAAACATATGTGAGAAGTTGTTTGTTTGTTTTAAATTTTGGTAAAATACATATATAACATAAAACTTACCATTTGAACAATTTTTAGGTGTACAGTCAAGTAGTATTAAATACATTCACACTATTGTACAACCATCAACATCACCTTCCTAACTCTTTTCATCTTGAAAAATTGAAGCTCTATACTCATTAAGTAATAACTCTCTAATCCTCCCTTCCCTCAGCACCTGGTCACCATTTTACTTAATATGTCTATGAGTTGGACAACTCTAGGTGCCCCCTATAACTGGAGTTATACAATATGTCTTTTTGTGACTGTCTTAGTTTACTTAGCATAATGCACATAAAGTTCATCTATGTTGTAGCATGTATCAGAATTTCCTCCCTTTTTGGGTCTGAAAAAGATTCTGTTATATATTTATAACACATTTTGTTTTCCATTCGTCCATGGATGGACACATGGCTACTTCCACCATCTTGCATTATGAAAAATGCTGCTATGAACATGGGTGTATAATATTGTATTCTCAAACATGTAAGTTACTAGCTGAGTAATTTTGATATCAGTTTTAAAGCTTTTTAGAACAGAATTTGCTTGTCATTGTTTTGTTTTGTCCCATTTTTACCTAAAATAAGAACTTCAGGAAGATTCAATAAGTTTTCAGGTCAAAAGGAAATAAATATGACCTAATATAGTACTTACCTCACATATGCTTTGCTTATAAAACTAATAATTCTGTAATCTCTACTCCATTCTTCCTAAAAAATGCTTATTATTGGTGTGATTTAAAAATTGCAAAACTGAATACTTAATTAAGGAAGGCAAATATTGCAATCTTTTCATAAGGATTATAGATGAAATGTTAAAGATACAGCAATGACCTCTATTGTAGATGCACCAATTATCTTCAGTTAAACAAAGAGAAAGAGAAAATTGCTCAAATTTAATTCTGTCAATGTGAGCAAAATATATTTTCTATCATTTTAAATACTTAGCATAAAAGACATACTGGAGTATATTAGATCGAAACTATCCAATATGGTCAGTTAATTCTGTATAATAAAATTATGCAACCACAAAAATAACATATTTCACTGTCTCAAAATTGAAATAGTTTCCAAATACTTATTTCAGAATTAAAACAATATGATTTATTATTGGTAATAACTTTAAGAAAAGACAAAAAAATCATGTTTTAGGCATTTCAAGATCAATAGAGTTAGGTTTATACTAATAAGGTAAACTATTAAATCACATTATTTATTAAAATGAATTGATATAACCTGCATGGCTTATTAAAATGATTAATGTGGCCTATGGATGAAAAACTCAACTGAGATATGATTTAAAACATATAATAACTATCACATAAGTACATTACTAAAACAAATACTACCATGAAACATAACAAATTAAAATCTTGAAGGAGAAACACATGTAAGTATAGAATATTATAAACATGTCAGAATTTTATTAATTTTAGAAGTAAATACATAGAGTGCTAGAGCAGAAGTTATATAACTGCTAATACAGATTTCAAATAGCATTCATTGCAAAGCATCAGCATTACTTAAATTGAACAAATTTCAGTTGTCAAATATCTCCAGACAAAGGCCACCAAGAACACAGTGATAGTTGAACAAGTTGAATTTATGACTCTTTGCATGAAAGGAAAACACACAGCAAAGAAAGCCATAGTGCCTCTCTCAGTAAGAGAAAGACCTATTACAGGATTTGAGCTTTGGTCCGGTAATTCAGGGGAGGGTCCAAGGATTCAGGCTTTGATCATGATTGGATGCTGTCAGGAAGACAGACAAGTTCATAATTGAGAACCTCAACAAATCTTATCTACAGGAAGGATAGACTAGGTAAAGAAGCAGCCATAATTCATTTTAGCAGAGAGAGGAGGATGTTCGAGTACTTCATGGGGTACATGGTGACCTTGTTTTATCTCACTTTATCATCCCTTCAACGTGACCTGATGTTGTTATGCTCTGTGAGATTGTTTATGTTCACCAGGAGAACAGTGTTCTCTAGCTGGGAGCATCAAGTCAGCTTGTAGTAACACATAACCTTACCTAGTTCAGGATGTTAGGTGTCATTTTCTTTCTCACAGTTTAGTGCAGCAGCTAGCTACCAACTATATAATCAAAACACAGAGGTTCATAAAATAATATAACAACAATTCTGAAAATGATGTGAACTCCGCTTGATAATGCATTCATAGTTGTATGACTACATTAAGCCTTAAAAGAGTTTAAGTGAATTGCTAACAGATTACCACTGATTTTTGACACAATCAGGAAGCAAATTCATTTCTTTTGATCTGAGTATTGGACACTGTCTTCTATACCAGGTTATTCTCCCAAATGACATGCCATATGCATTTCGATAATGCAGTCACTATATTCTAGAATAGAAAGCCATCAAGTGGTTAATAAATCTTGTTTCTTTTACAGTGGTGGCTAATGAAGAGTAAACAGATATCATTGGAAGTTGAGGATCTAGGATACCATGATCTCCACAATGAATTCAGGCAGATAAGCTCTGCTTATATCAACTTGATATATTGCATCTTACGTATGTATATATGATGCAGTATATTAAATTATAATCATACATATAAAATTCTACCCAATGTTTAATAAAAAAGTTTATTTGTTAGAAATGATTATAAACACTGATGTATGCAATAAATGTTGTACAAGTGGGTGGTACTAAATAATTATATGATTACAAAGAAATTTGATTAACAGAAATAAGTGTTCAGACCACATAATATTCTTTTTAAATTTATTTTCCTTTTTTTAACTTTTATTTTAAGTTCAGGGGTACAAGTGTAGGTTTGTTACACAGGTAAACTTGTGTCATGGAGGTTTGTTGTACAGATTATTTTATCACCCAGGTATTAAGCCTAGTATCCATTAGTTATTTTTTCCTGATCCTCTCCCTCCTTCCACCCTCCATCCTCTGAAAGGCCTCTGTGTGTGTTGTTCCCCTCTATGTGTCTATATGTTCTCATCATTTAGCACCCACTTATAAATGAGAACATGTGGTATTTGATTTTCTGTTCTTGTGTTAGTTTGTTAAGGATAATGGTCTTCTCAGAAATCTATAAGGATTAAAATCTATAAGGATTAAAATGCAAGTGATATATAAGTGAACTATGGTAGGAAGCGAATTGGCACATTTTACCATTTCATCTCACTAATTTGTTACACTAAAGACCTTTGAAAAATATTACACAAAATTTCAGCATTTTAAAAAAAATTGTGGATTTATTCAGAATTATTAACTTGGTTTCAAAACTTGCTTCACTTATCTATCACAAAGGAGGTAAACGTATATTGCTAATTTGCTATGCTCTTATAATAGGTTATGACAGCTTGTTTTTTAAAAGAATATGCATTCATCGAGGAACTGGAGATTTAATGTATGCAATCAGCATTCAGCAAAGGAAGGAGACATTTTGGTATTAAAAAAACTATTTGTATATTAAGTACAGTAAGTCCTTGCTTGACGATGTTGTTAAGTTCTTGGAATCTATGACTTTAAGCAACATGACAAATGGGAAGTCTTTGAGTAACATCATTTTGTTCCACATTGTTGGGTGATAACATTGATAAGGAAAAAAATGGGTTTGTTATATGTCATTTTGAATACATATTCCTAATTTCAGTGTATTTTCCTACATAAAACTATTATATTTAGTAAATTAATTAGCCTATCCTCTTTGCAAAATAAAACATTTACCAATTGTGAAGGGAAGAAAGGACAGTGGTTAATGGAGAGACAAGGAAGGTTGAAATACATGCCGAATAAAAGAAAGGTTTAACTATATGGCACTGGAAACAAACAATTTGAGTGTGAAGGACGTATTTTCTCTCAAGGATTATACAATATGAGAAATTAATCAGAAATCAAAGCAATGAATTCAACCAGTTAGGAAAATTGGTAGAATGGTATGAAGTATAAATGAAGAAAATGCATTTTAAAATATAGAAAATTTGGGACCATGGTGTTATGTCCCACTTAACAACCAAAATAATAAAAATTTGATTGTGCAAAAGGTGATTATTAAATTTACTAGTAGAGTTTAATGAGGGCAGATATTGAATGCTAGGAGATGGGTAATAGAAAGTTTCAATAAATCATTTTCTAATAATTTCATAAACTTCCTTTCAATAGCTACCTGCTACCTCCAGGTTATTGGTGGATCTCCTGTTATTGGACTTCATTAAAATAAAAACAAATCTGTGGCATTTATGTCAAGTCAAAAGAATCTATGCATTCAGAGTTGTGGCAGGAGCACATATGAATAAAGGAGTCCCTTTACTACATTCTAAGGAAGAATTTGCATGTTCTATTACAGACAATTATTTGTTCTCAGCCATGTCTGTCCTGATACAGCTATCCAGATAGCCTTATCTTCCAATTCCTCTCACTCAGAAAATTTTTTTATTGTGTCCTCTGGAATTCATGGCCAGTCAGCATCAAAATTCTATATAATCTCAATATATTTCTTTTATTTGAATTTTGCCCTAATAGGAGATTGTGTTGAAGACACATCTTATTCAGCAGCCCATATCATTCACATCTCCCTGTGCTTTTCTTCAATCTGATGTGAATTCATTTTTTAGCACACCAGGTCCAAAATGTTGTTGCATAGACAGTTTGACTTTCAAGATTTTTAGATGCCTCCTTCTGCCTCTTTCAACTGGCAAATGTGTCATAGCAAAAATCTGAACAGAACATCTAATTTATGTTTATGTGCTTCCCTTCTTTCTGGAGTCTTGCCTCCTCAAGTCTCTGCTGCTTGGTAGAGATCTCAGGTGCCCTCTAACACTTTATCTTTCATATTTTATCCAGCCTTACTAATTAGTCTAGCAAGACGGATGGCTATATTCAAGTTCATCTGCTATAGCTAGAAGCAAATATTCTTGTATCTAGCTATTAAGATTTGACAAGGCATAAGAAATAAAGAGGCAAAACTGTCATCATTTACAGATGATACGATTCAACACTTTCAGTATACAGGAGCCAAGACTGAAAAAAATGACTCTAAACATGATGGCAAATGATTAAGGTAGGTGAATACAAAATAAAAATAAATAGTTCATAACATATACATTATATAATTAGAAAACACCCTATTTTGCAAAGCAAAAAACTTGAAACAGACCTCATAATCAATGTGCATGATTTTTAAGGGGAAAAATTGTATACTATTGGAGAACTTAAAGTAAGTTGTTATCAAATATATAAGCATGTAATGTCTTGGAATAAAAACACAACATCATAATGATGACAATTCAGTCCATATTAATCTATAAATGTAATAAAATAATGGCAAAATAGAAATATGTTTTCCGCAATCACTGTCAAGTCAAATCCAAATTTTATGTAGAAAGATAAAATAACCAGAAAATCCCTAATAAGGTGGTTAGTCAGGAGGAACAAGAATGATCATATAATAAAATATATTATATAATCTTATTAAAGAATTTTATTTAAAGAAGCAACTTAATTCTATTCCCATTTTAGTAAAATCACTGTAATATATAGAAAGGATTATGAAACAGCAACACTGAAGAGAGAAGTTAGCTTTTTCAGTGATACTTGCAAAATAATAGAATTCTGAATTAGAGAAATAGCAGTAAGGCGAGAGAGAGATTTAGTAGATGTTATCAATCATAATACTCTTAACACAACAGTAGCTGACACATACAGTGTTTATATAGTAAGGCGCTGTGTATATCTCAATGTATTTTACCCACACAAAAACCTTTGTGTTGAGTTCTACTTTAATTTCAATTTGGCAGATGTGGGAATTAAGGGATAGAATAATTGCACAAATTGCCCAAGATCACGTAGTTACTTAAAAACAGCATGATTCTGGCTTCACATTCTGGGCTAGCAGCCTCAAAAGTGTACAATTTCACTAAGAGTTGCTGTGACATGATTGGCTGTGGCCTGTGACAATGTCAATGAACTTGTCTCTGACTTAGGGTGTGGGTGAACTATAGTAGTGTCGTGTATAGAAAGATGTACACACACACACACACACACACACACACACACCCCAGTTAAGAATAAAAAGATCTTGGGTCATCTTTTGAGCAGCATGATTTGAATGATGTCTCATAAGCAGTGTATATATAAATCCAGCTGTGATTAGTGATATCTGAGCTGGCAGAAGAGACCTGGAAATTATCAGTCCATCAATAATAATTAAAGGCATGAAAATGAGATACAAAAGCATTAAAAATAAGAAGCAACTTGAACTGTCATTGATCTCTCAATAATAGACACATGTAAAGAACAGACAGAATAAATTGAATGAAGAGACACTGAGAAGGCATATCCAGAGAGGGAGAGAGAGAGAAAGGAAGAAGCAAACTCAAAGAAGTATGGTGTTCCACATGATAATATAAGTGAACGGAGTTTTTGAAGGTAAAATTCAAATAGACAACTGCCATGGTTTGAATATTTATCTCAAAACTTAACGCTGAAATTTAATCATCAGTGTAATGATATTGAGAAGTGGGCCTTTATGAGGCGATTAGGCCAGGAGGGATCTGCCCACATGGGTAGATCAAATACTTTTGAAAAGGACATTAAGAAATGAGTTTTAGCTCCACTGTTCTGCCATGTGGAGAACAGTGTTTCTTTCCTCTGGAGGTTACATCTTAGAAGCAGAGATGGGGTCCTTACTAGACATCAAACTGGCTGGTGCCTTGAACTTAAACTTCTCAGCCCCCAGAACTGTGAGAAAAAAAAAAAATCTATTCTTTATCAATTACCCAATTTCAGGTATTTTTTTTGTAGAAGTACAAAACAGACTAAGATAATAACTCCTGTCTTTCTTCTTTTTTTTTTTCTTTTTTTTGAGACGGAGTCTCACTCTGTCGCCAAGGCTGGAGTGCAGTGGCACGGTCCCGGCTCACTGCAAGCTCCGCCTCCCAGGTTCATGCCATTCTCCAGCCTCAGCCTTTCGAGTAGCTGGAACTACAGGCGCCCGCCACCATACCCGGATAATTTTTTTTTTGTATTTTTAGTAGAGACGGGGTTTCACCTTGTTAGCCAGGATGGTCTCGAGCTCCTGACCTCGTGATCCGTCTGCCTCGGCCTCCTAAAGTGCTAGGATTACAGGCGTGAGCCACCGCACCCGACTCTGTCTTTCTTCTTATGTAATTTGAATATAATTCTTTTCTAAGATTCCCAAAATATTAGCCCTGTCATTTTCTTTCCATTATTTACAGCAATTTTTCTTTTAAAAAAACAGCTTTTATTTTAGATACGGGGGTACATGTGTAGAATTGTTACATAGTGTATTAGACCCACGTAGTGAGCATAGCACCCAATAGGTAGTTTTTCTCCCATGTCTCTCTCCTTCCATCCTTTCCCTAGTAGTCTGCAGTGTCTATTATCCCTGTGTTTATATCCATGTGTGCTCAGTGTTTACCTGCCATACACACTTTCTTAGTAGGGGGGTACCATTCTTACCTGTAAAGCAACAGTAAACATTACTATCTGTGGACTTGCAGAGTTTTGGTTCCACTGGCATCAAAACACATTATTATTCCATTAGACCAAGACTTAGTTTATGGTAAAGGAGAAGAGTAAGTGGGCCTATGACCATGAGATGACGTACTGACCCACCCAGAAGCTGTCAGTGTGAGAGAGTGCTGAAAAGGCCTGCACAGCTAAAATGCCAGTTTGGAGCCAATACTTCCTGAGAATTGTGTTTCATCATCTAGGACGCAGCATATAGATAATAGAAGATCTTTGATGGCTCTGTGGCTCTAGTGGAAAGAATATATGCATTTGGAATGTAACGTATGCAAAGAGGAGTGGCCCCATTACTTAATACAGTAGTTCCCTCTTATCCTCGGTGGATCTATTCCAAGACCCCCCATGGGTGCATGGAATTGCAGGTCGTACCATATCCTATATATACTATGTTTCTTCCTGTATATACATATCTATCATAAAGCTTAATTTATAAATTAGGAACAGTAGAGATAACAACAATAACTAATAATACAATAAAAAATTATGACAGTATGCCAGTATTATTAGTCTTGAGCTTTGGGATTATTGTTAAGTAAAATAAGGTTTACTTAAGCACAAGCACATCGATATCACCATAGTCATTCTGATAACCGAGCTGGCTACTAAGTAACTAATTATAGGCCAGTAATGTGGACAACATGGTTATATGTGCTGGACAAAGGGATGATTCATGTCTCAGGGAGGACAGAATGGGATGGTTTGAGGTTTCATCACGCTACTCAGAATGGCTCTGAAGCTGCTATTGCCTATCTCAGTGCCCCATGTCAGGCTCAAATGAACTACCCCTTATACTCCTACCCTGCTCAGTTGCTGTATGCCGGCTGGTCTGAAGAAGATGGGGAGACTTAGGGTAAAAGCACTTCACGCAGCTGAAGCAGACTCTGAAGAACTGAACTTGAAGGGGGATCTCAGTGGCACATCTTACAGTTTGCCACTGGCTCCCCTCACCTATGATTAAGAAGAAATGCCTCAATCAGATGATTCAGCAAACACTTACACACAACATCTGCCAGTCCACATTATTCAGAAAAATGCAATGTCATTCCTTATGGAAAGTTGCCTTACTAGTCTGTGTGAGTCCTCATGTTACTGGGGGTCCTTGCTCCCAGAGCTACCAAGACGGTAATGGGACGCTTCCAAAATGGCCGCAAGCTGTTTCCAAGATGGTGGCTAGCCTGGTGGTAGCTGACCTGGGGTTCCTGGCCTCACGGATTCAAAGGAATGGAATCTTGGGCCATGCGGTGAGTGTTACAGCTCTGTTAGCTCTATTAGAAGCCGTGGGTCATGGAAGAGAACCGTGGAACCCAGTGACTAGTGTTCAGCTCGATTAGAACGAACCTGGGCACTTAGCCATGCAGGAACAATGGCAAGCCTTTAGTCGGATCGGGAGCAGCAATGGGCACCTCACTGGATCAGGAGCACAGAGGACACCCTGCCGGATCCGAAGGGATGGAAGTCAGCGCGTGTCTGCGGCAGTGGCAAACAGCAGTGGTGGACAGAGAGTGAAAGCTCAGCTTGAGCTGTAACAAACACAGACCAGAAGAGAGTGCAGTTGTAAGATTTAATAGAGTAAAATAGAGTGAAAACAGAGCTCCCATACAAAGGGAAGGGACCCAAAGCGGGTAGCTGTTGCTGGCTCGAATGCCTGGGTTTATATCCTAATCATTGTCCCTCCCGCTGTGCTCTCAGGCAATAGATGATTGGCTATTTCTTTACCTCCTGTTTTTGCCAAATTAGCATTTTAGTGAGGTCTCTTTACTATCCGATTCATCGGGTGTGAGCTAAGTTGCAAGCCCTGTGTTTAAAGGTAGAAGCGGTCACCTTCCCAGCTAGGCTTAGGGATTCTTAGTCGGCCTAGGAAATCCAGCTCGTCCTGTCTCTCACTAGTATTAAAAACAAACTGAACAAGAAGTTAACTAGTCACAAAGATGGGAGATATAAACATCGCTTTTTCTCCAAAGCAGACCATGCATAAAGACCCACCTTGAACAAAGTAAAATTGAGTATAACAGCTAGAGAAGAAAGTTATTAAATGAATTGTCTTCAGTTACATTTAGAGTTAACTGGAATTTACTAGTAAGACCAGGACTTTTACTGAACAATTTTAGCCAGTAAGTTGGGTTATAACACTAATTTACATTCAGCAATCTTTGGAATAGTCCTAAGCCTGAAAATAAATCTTTCATTTCCAAAGATCTCAAAGCTATGTAACAATATTTATTTGAAATAAAATATCTCGGCTTGTGGCAACTAATTTAGAACCAAACTTAAAAGTCAGTTTCAGTTCAGATAACAAGGACATAGTGAAGATAATAAAAACATCCTCATGGGAAGAAAAGATATATAGTGGTTGTAATTTGAAATACCCTTCAGTGTCTTAGTATAATCATCCTTTATGTATTCAGGCTCATAAATAAGTAGGACAAATGAGAGTATGTAAATATTCCAGAATGTAAGATATTTCTACCATCTTTGTTCTTCAAAGCAGCATCCATGACAAGGCTGGTGTAATTATTTAAGTGCATTCCTGTGAGGGGCAAAATTAATGCGACTCTTATCTTACTGAACAATAAACGCATCAGGTGAAATGATTAGCATTTAGACATTAAATACACAATTTCAAAAAAAACTATACTAACTCCAAATAGAAGTATGTTGAAGTTTGTTAATAAGCTACTTGTTCCTTTCTGAAGAGTCATGATAGGTTTTTAAGACATAAATTTGAATATTTTATGTCGAGTCCATATTAACTTATAATAAACATTACCCTTTTTACTGATATTAGATAGGTTTAACCTAGGCTTTCTGAAATTTTACATAAATAGTAATGCTTTCAGGAGAATTCTTTTCTGTTTTTTTTTTTTTTTCTAAAAAAGACATGTTAATTGTTGCTTTAATAATCACCAAACATTTGTGTTGAATAAGTATTTATTCATCACTTTCCTTGTATCAGGAACTGTGAAAGGCATTAGGGCTGCAAAGACAGATAAGCTACAATCCCCAGAAAAATAGATTGATCATTCTATTTGCAAGACAATTTACTGAGTATAATCATTTATGAAGCAAATGCTATGGGAACACATTGGTTTGAATGACTAATTCTTACAGCAAAAAGTCATTTGTAAATATCTTACATTTTGAACAGAAATTTTAAAAATATTTGCAGAATCAGGACCTGACCTCTGTGTAAGTTTAAGATCCAGGCCTCATTTTTGGTCTTCTTGAAGCTGCTTCATAGAACAACAAATGCAAATAAAAAAAGATGCTTAATTCTCCCTTTTGAAGATAAGGGAAGGCCTGGCGCAAAGGTTCGTGGCTGTAATCTCAGCACTTTGGGAGGCTGAGGTGGGCAGATCACTTGAGTAGAGGAGTTTGAAACCAGCCTGGCCAGGCAGGGTGCGGTGGCTCATGCCTGTAATCCCAGCACTTTGGGAGGCCGAGGCCAGCGGATTGCCTGAGGTCAGCCTGACTGACATGTTGAAACTTCGTCTCTACTAAAAATACAAAAATTAGCTGGGTGTGGTGGCACATGCCTGTAATCCCAGCTACTCGGGAGGCTGAGGGAGAAGAATCGCTTGAACCCAGCAGGTGGAGGTTGTAGTGAGCCGAGACGGGGCCTTGGCATTCCATCCAGCCTGGGCAACAAGAGCAAAACTCCATCTCAAAAAAAAAAAAAAAAAGAAAGAAAAGAAACCAGCCTGGCCAACATGATGAAACACCACCTCTACTAAAAATACAAAAATTAAAATTAGGGAGGCGTGGTGGTACCTGCCTATAGTCCCAGCTACTCGGCAAGCTGAGGCACAAGAATTGCTTGAACCGGGAAGCAGAGGTTGCAGTGAGCTGAGATCATGCCACTGCACTCCAGCCTGGGTGACAGAGCGAGACTGCCTTCCAAAAAAATTAAAATAATTAAAAAAGAATAAAAAAAGAAAGAAAAAAGAAAGGAAGGCATTTCCCTTCCTTTCTTTTTCTTAGAGCATTTACTTTAGAAAACTTGTACTTGCGAGAACTTTCTCCTTTCTTTGAAATGTATATAAATTCTATTGAAAGCTGGATTGGCCTTTGTCATCTTTATGACCTGTGAATCGTTCCCAGAGACCTGGAAGCCACATCTTTGAAATGTAAACAAGGAAGAGATCATCCAAATCTCACAGTTTCCACTGGAGTGCAGGAGCCTAATTGTTGCTTTATGTTGCAAAAATGTATCTTGTCATAAAGATATGTGAAGTTGGTTTCTTCTCTGAATGAAGCCAACTAGTTAACACAGAAGATCACCCTAATTACCAAGCAAATTTAGGGTGTACTTTAAATTCTTACTTGAGGATGAGCTATCTTTTATCTTGAAATCATGCCCATAATAGGTTGTATCTGCTTGGCTGATAAAAGGAAAGATTTCTTTCTGTTTTCATAATCTCTTAGCAGATCCCATGTGATATGTATCATATTCCGGTTTAAAGCCTATTCAGTAATAAAGCAGTTGTCTTTCTCTGCTACCACTGGGGAGATTATTTTGTTTTCAATTGTGTTTCTCCAACACTCACTATACAGCTGGATTTTGTGTTTTATTTCAGCTGTTACTTTCTTTCTTTCTTTTTTTTTTCTTTTTATGAGACAGTCTCACACTCTGTTGCCCAGGCTGCAGTGCAGTGATGCAATCCCCGCTAACTGTAACCTCCGCTTCCCAGGTTCAAGCGATTCTCCTGCCTCAGCTTCCTAAGTAGCTGGGATTACAGGAGCGAGTCAACATGTCCGGCTAATTTTTGTATTTTTGGTAGAGACGGGGTTTTGTCATGTTGGCTAGGCTGGTCTCAAATTCCTCACCTCAGGTGACCCGCCTGCCTCAGCCTCACAAAGTGCTGGGATTACAGGCATGAGCCACCATGCCCAGCTGCTTTATTTCTTTATAAGATTAGGACATTGAACAACCTCATCTACATCAGATAGTTTATTAGGATGCAAGCTAGAAACTCACTCTCTCTCTGTCTCTCTCCCTCTCACACACACACAAACACACACAGAAATGAACACTTATGCACACTGACAGCTTGCACAGCAAAGGCATTTACTTGTGATGTGTAAAAATAAATCGAGGAAGCCTGTAGAGCTGACTTCAGTTGTCAACAAGGTCTAGACACTAAGAAGCCTTCTTTGTGCGTCCTTTGATTGCAAAGACTACCAGTGCTGGCATCCTAAAACAAGAGCCTCTAAAACAGAAAGGCAGAAGCAGTGACACACAAAAAAGGCTCTTCTTTTGTGCAGCCCTCGATTTTTATAAGGGCAAATGTTTTGTAGCAAGTAGGTCTCAGCAGAGTTCATCTTAGCTTTAGTTGCTTACTTCCAGACAACTTCTCACAATTTTGATCAGCATGACAAATACTGGCTGATACCCAGTGAATCCAGATCGTTTCCTGGAGCCAGGAGAGGAAACTTTCAGAATTTGCTGCCATGTTGATGCCTAAACAAAATAGCAGATGTGGTTGAAAAGAAAGAAAAAGGATGTAGTAAGAACTGTCTGCCGCAGCACTGTTGAGAAATGTGTCTTGCATTCTCTGGCAATCCTCATTCATGCTATTCTTTTTTTTTTTTTTGAGACGGAGTCTCACTCTGTCCTCAGGCTGGAGTGTGCAGTGGCACAATCTCGGCTCACTGCAACCTCGGCCTCCAGGGTTCAAGCGATTCTCTTGCCTCAGCCTCTCGAGTAGCTGGGACTACAGGCTCATGCCACCACACCCAGCTAATATTTGTATTTTCAGTAGAGACTGGTTTTCACCATGTTGGCCAGGATGGTCTCAATCTCTTGAGCTTGTGATCTGCCCACCTCGGCCTCCCAAAGTGCTGGGATTACAGGCGTGAGCCACCACACCTGGCTATTCATGCTATTCTTAATTCCTTTGACTCTTTGGTCTAAAATTTCTTAAGGGCTGACAATGTTCTCTCGGTCCTTTTCCTTGTTTTTCTACATACCATGAACTCACTTGCCATCCATATGCTGATGACTCCTGAAAATCTATCATATCCCCAGATTTCCTTCTGGCACTTCGGATCTTTATGCTTATTTGCTTACTGAAAGGGGCACTCTGTTTTAATTGTATCATATATTGCCAAGACCATCATAATAAATCCAAACTCTTTGGCATGACAATATGGATAACTGATAATTAGACTTTTCTCAAAATCTCTGACTACATTTCCTGCCGGCACCTCCCATTCATCTCCAGCCACATACTTTTCTGCAATCGCACTGAACTTGTGCAGTTCTCTAAGCAACTTCGGTGGGCTCTTTCTAATCTCTGAACTTTGAATAGACACTACTTGTGAGTAAAGTGTTCTCACCAAGCTAATCTCTGTTGACCATTCCGGATTCAGTTAAACTGTGTCTCCTCACTTGCTCTCCTCTTCCCCAACACTTCAGGAGACACTCTATGTTTTCATCTATCCAGATAATGTCTGTCCTTTGTATTTTTGAATATTTCATGCTTTAGACTTTTGTAGTGCATATCACAGTAGGTTGCAATTTTCTATTTGTCTCCTCTATTAGACGGTAGGATTTGACGGACTTAATCAAACCATGAATCTCTCAGAACTCCTTTTCAGCTTTAGCATTCAACAACTTATCCTTTAAATTTGAGATAATAGCACATGAATGTTTGTAATTTTTCTGGTTAAATTAATATTAATATGAAATATAAAAGTAAATTTTTGTATAAAATATTGGGTAATATCTATTTTGATTTACATTGAGAAACATTAAACATGAAAATTATGTGGTTGTCATTAAAGTTGAATTGAAGGTGTAGCATGATTTTTGTATTATGAGCAGTAGGGGAGTAAATAACAGAAAATTGGTATTTATTAGGGGTAAGAAGTCCTAAGATGTAGCATAGATGACTTGACAGGACCAAATGAGGCAAATTGTGAGAATGAATATGGCTCCTTTAAGATGGAGTGAAGTGATTCAGCTGTTTGTCACCGAACAATCACAAGACAAGCCAGTTGAGTGCTTTCCCCAGGCTAGTACCTAATAAAGGGTATAGAAATGAATTGATCCCATTTGTGTTTCACACACAACTGCAAAGTGTGCAGGCAGATGCTATAAAACATCAACATTAATGGGAAGCTCTAAAATCTTGATTCTCAGTAAGAAGAGGCAAAATATAAATTTTACTTTTAGCATCATGAAGTAGAAGAAAGTTTTCTATCCCATAGAATAGGCATTGTGCAACTTTCCTTTTCTTTCTGTTTGTTAATATTTTTTAGAGTCAGGATCTCAATCTGTTGCTCAGGCTGGAGTGCAGTGGCACAATCATAGTTCACTACAGCCTCAAACTCCTGGGCTCAAGCAATTTTCCTGCCTCAGCCTCTTGAGTAGCTAGGACTACAGGCACTTGCCACCATGCCTGGCTAATTTTTAAATTTTTAAATTTTTTTGTAGAGATGGGGTCTCAGTATGTTGCCCAAGCTGGTCTCAAACTTCTAGCCATAATAAATCTTCCTGCCTTGGCCTTCCAAAGCCCTGGGATTATAGGCATAAGCCACAGTGCCTGGCCCGTGCAACTTTAAAGAATATGTATACACACACACATACACTCACACACATATAGAGAGAGAATATATATATTCCATATATATAATGCATATATTATATATATAAATTCTTAATTATATCAAATAACTCTCCAGTAAGTAAACATGAATACATATTCATATACAATGATAAATTATCAACAACCCCAAATGAACTCACTAAAACACTGTCTTATTTACTCTTGCAAAAATAAATACACATACTAGATGACCCAAGGTAAGTCCCACTGAGGCAATAATAGAGGATTTTTAGGTATCACAGAGAAGCCACTGGATATATATAAAACAATATTGGGAAGATTTGTGCTCTAGGAATTAACTGACTAAAATCTCCTGACTATGTAGTTGCAGGTATTCATATTCATGGAAAGGAAAATACATGCAAGTTAGTCAATGCAATAAGATTAGAAAAATATTCATTAAGCCCTACTATGTACTCAACACTATGTACATACTATGCCAGGATCCAGAAATGTTAGTAAGAATGTCCACATCTCAAAAAGCTTAAAGGTAAATAAGACATATCAAATTGCCTTGCAAATATTTACTATAGTATATTGATGATATCCTGGCCAAGGAACTGTTAAAATATAATGCAGATGAAAGAAATATCTAGAATAATTGTATGTAAATTTCTTAGTTCAGCATTTGTAATTTCAATAAGCATTTCTTTTTGCAATTCAATTTATTAGAAAAGTATTATCATTGATTTCTTTAACAAAAATTTATGTACTGTTTATTATGTGCCAAATGCTATTCTAAGTTTTCAGTATAAAAGTCAAACATAGAAACAAAAATGCTGACCAATATCCCTTAGCACTTTCAGTTTCATTGTAGAGACAGACAGTGAACATGTTAAATTAGGATATTATACTTATGATAGATGATAACAAACAATGGAAAAACTAAAGCAGGGTAATGAGAATCAAGAATTTTGAAAGAGTGAGGAAGTTTCCAATTTAAAATGATGATCAGGTAGGCCTTGACTACATGGTGAATTTAGAGCACACTTTGAAGGAGCTGAAAAAAATTACCAACTTGATAACAAAAGATTTTTCCAAAGCAGAGAGTAGCCTACTAAATTCATGGATTTCAAGTCCTACCATTCTATCAGAATACTTGTAGATAACTGGTATGTGTTTTACTGAGGCTTGAAGAAACAAGTTCGGTTTTCCTGACGTGGTGGTT
The DNA here is from genome assembly GCF_000001405.40 of Homo sapiens. Classification (NCBI taxonomy): domain Eukaryota; kingdom Metazoa; phylum Chordata; class Mammalia; order Primates; family Hominidae; genus Homo; species Homo sapiens. The sequence continues at coordinate 18,740,867 of NC_000005.10, forward strand.
CTTGGATTATTGTTTGAACACCTGACCTTAACATGTCACCAATGGGAACTTTAATGGATTCATTTTTATTGCAGCAAAATTTTGTTTTGAGTAGACAAATAAAAGCCATCAGAAAGTCGATAGAATCCATGCAGCTATCTCAGACGCGCATTATGAGAATGGTTTTCTCAGACTAGAGCTCCGCTGTCATTCAGATTCCCTTCACAAACACTCCAGGGTAATCACCCTGAGATGAATCTCAATGGGTCTAAACTTGATGCCCTCAGATGTCTCATTTCTTCTACCAAAGGGTTGTAGGAGCCATGTGATTTAGGGGAACATCTTTGAAAATCTTTACACTTGCTTAATTTGGGTATAATAGAGATCAATATAAGATATACCTAAAAATGATACCTGGATCTTAGGCTGTCAAACTCTGAATTGGCAAAGGAACACTAACTATGGTATATTTCTTGGTAAGCAATAAGATCCAGCTCCCTATTCCCAGGTCAGAATTGTTTCAACTCAGGCCAAAGCTCTGAAATTGTCATAAACTTCAGGTTGCCGAGTCTGCTCCGAGAGTGCAGACAATCTCCAAAAAGCTATCATTAAGTGATGCTGGCACACAGGACTCTTGTACTTTATATATTTCCTTAAAGAATACAATGGAAGCACATTCCTCAGTAGTATATAGGTTGTCACATTTGAAACTGTCCACATTATATATGAAAGCTCATATGTTTTAAAGATTTTATTTTGATGGGTTAAGCTCTATATAAAGATTTCTATCATAAGAGAGTCCAAATTTGTTATACTTGAATATATTTCTTCTGCCTACTCTTGGTAAATGCAAACTCAAAAGGAACTAAATAGTTGAGACATTTGTAGGTCAAGGACAAAGTTAAATATTATCATTTTAAATTAGCAGAGATAATAACCTGTGATTTTGATTATACAGTGATGTGTTGCTTAGCCTTTGGTATATGTTCTGAGAACTCTCTCCTTAGGTGATTTTGCTGTTGTGCAAATGTCATAAAGTGTACTTACACAAACTTAGATGGTATAGCCTACTACACACTTAGGCTATATGGTATAGCCTATAGCTCCCGAGCTACAAATCTGTACAGCATGTTACTGTACTAAATACCAAAAGCAACTGTAACATGATGGTAAATATTTGGGTATCAAAATATATCTAAACATAGATAAGGTACATATTTAAAAGATAAAAAATGATACACCTGTATAGGGCCGTTACCAAGAATGGAGTTTGCCAGATTGAAAATTGCTCTGGGTGAGTCAGTGAGTGAGTGATGAGCGAATGCAAAGTCCTAGAACCTAACTGTACACTACCCATAGTTTTTATATGCACAGTACACTTAGGCTACTCTAAATTTATTTTAAATATTCTTTTTTCAATAATAAATTAACCTTAGATTAATGTACTTTTAATTTATGTTATTGTTAAATAATATTAATAATATTAATAACTATGCATATTCATGGAGTACATAGTCATGTTTTGATCACAGTAATAGCACATTCATTATTTAAAACATTTATCACTTCTTTTTATTAAGAATGTTCAATGTCTTCCCTGTGGTGTTTGTTCTCAGTTCGGTGGCATTCCAATGTTCGGGAACAGGTACTGGGACGGATGGTTTAAAGCATAAGGGGAGGCACATCAAGCAGTCAGCTGGATTTTGGCTGGAGGCCTTGCGAATTTCGGTAAGGGTGACATTAAATAAATTTAGCAAGAAGGAGTGAGTGTGAAGAGTTTTGTGTAGCTTTGAGAGGTCTAATCCTTTGTAGGGACTGGGTGTGCTAAGGGTTTGAATGGCCCTTGCTTTAGCTGATATGTCCCTCCCTAGTAAAGGGGTAGGGCTCTCAGGCATAAGAAAGGCATGTGAGAAAAATAAGGTTCCCCAGTCACAACTTAGGGGGTAGGAGAAATGCCTAGTGACTGGCTGTCCTAGGACCCCTTTGATGGTGACAGACCAGGAAGATACTGACCAGGACAGAAGAGTAAAACTGAGAAGGCCGCACCAGTGTCCAGGAGGAAGTTAGTTTCCTGGCCCTCAATGGTTACACTTAGCCGGGGCTCTGTGAGGGTGATGGCATGGGCTGGCACCTGTCCCGGGCACCCTCAGTCCTGTTGTTGGACCATCTGGGTAGTGGCCTCTGGCCCAGAGGACTTTCGCCTTCGGGGGCAGTGTGCCTTCCAGTGATCCCTCTGGCACAAGGGACATAGAAGAGGGGGCAGCTTATTTTTGTTTGGGCGGTCCTTTTTGAAGTACCCCTGTAAGCTGCACTGATAACAAGCCCTGTTAGGCGGGTTGCCTGCCCAGCCCTTCTTTCTTTCAGAGCCACTGAAGTTCATCTGCCTGAGGGTCATGACTAAGGTGACGGCCTTTTTCTTGTCTCATCTGTCTCACTCAGCCTGATCCTCCTGATCCCTATTATAAAATACTGAAGTTGCCAAATTCAATCGAGTTTTCAAATTTTGCTCAGGGCCCAGGGCAGACTTTTGAAGTTCTTTTCTAATGTGTGCAGCTGACTGAGTAATAAACTTACCCTTTAAAATTAGTTGGCCTTCAACAGAGTCAGGTGACAAGGAGGTATGCTTTCTTAATGCCTCCCTTAGCCTCTCTAAAAATGCCGTAGGGTTTTCTTCCTTTTCCTCTGTTATGGTGGCCATCACTGAGTAATTCATTGGCTTTTTTCTGGTCTTTCTTAATCCCTCTACTATACAAGTCAGTAAATGCCTGAGACTCAAGTCTCCATGCTCCGAGTTGAGGTCCCAGTGGGGATCCACACTGGGAACTGCCTGTTGGCCTGTGGGGAGTTGTTCCCTTTCTTCTGATGTCATTTTATCATTTACCTGGCTTAGGTACCAGAGATCCCCAAACTCCTGGGCTGCAACTAAGGTGGCCTGTTTTTTGTTGGGAGTTAATGTTTGACCTAACAACAACATAATATCTCTCCATGCTAAACTAAAAGATTGTCCTAATCCTTGTAAGACATCTATGCATCCATCAGGATTATCTGAGAATTTTTCTCCGTTCAGTTTGATCTGTTTTAAGTCTGAGAGGGAAAAGGGGACATGTACTCACACCAGGCCAAAGTCTCCTCCTCCTCCCATGGCTTGGAGGGGGCACAATCGAGGGCCATTGGCGCCTTTTGGTTACTTGACTATCTTTGGGTCTGGTTCCTTTTGGGCCGTTAGGGCCAAAGGAGAGTCCTTACTAGTCAGAGGGGGAGCCGTGGGGAGCCCTGGGTATGGGGGTAGGCTTTGAGGATCCCCGGTAGGATATATATATTACATTTTTTACATAATTGTGGGTTTTCCGTTAGTGAGAAAAAACCTGTACATATGGCACTTCACTCCATTTGCCCTCTCTTTTACAAAAGAGATCTAGCTGTAGGATGGTATTATAGTTTATACTTCCCTTGGGTGGCCATGTCTCTCCTCCAGGAAGAGGATATTGTGGCCGGGTGGTGCTGCAGAAAAATATAAGTCGCTTCTTCTTCAGCATTTGAGGGTCTAATTGGTCCCAATTATCCAGACTACACCTTAGGAGTGGCTTAGCTTTTGAGGGAACGTCTCCTATCTGAAAGGAGAACATAGGAGTGCCTGCACCCCTAGTCATCACCTAGTGAGCACTCTCCCTAGGGCATCCCCTATGGTTCTAGTGTCCTCTTCTTTCCAGGGTGCCCAATCACCCATGGAACTCTGCTTATCAGATTTAATTGTGCTTACTAACATAGCAGTTTTGCTCACACTCATTTCCTGCCTCTTTTTAGCCACAGAAAAAAGGGCCCAGGGCTGCTCGATTTTAGTGGCTCCTTACCAGCATGCCCACAGTTGTCTTTGCATCTGCGAGTGGGTCTTAGGTTAGGGGTGTATTTTGAGTTCAGAGACCAGGCACCAATTAGCATATTTCTGGGCTTGGAGTTGTCCCAGCAAGATAAATTCCTTGAAAATGGCACTGGAGCACAACAGTTTTAGAGTAGGCAGTGGCAAATTGGAGGACCAAGGTTGGAACAGTGCTTTTTGTACCCGAATTCTGACCCCATTTTCCCTCAAAAGAATATTCATTGACCTTTGGACTTGGATCAGGGGACCTATTGTCTATTACATTGTTGTCAGCCCATACGTCTGACTGCTTCAAGTCGAGAAGTTCTACAGTCCTTTTTTTTTTTGAGATGGAGTTTCACTCTGTTGCCCAGGCTGGAGTGCAGTGGTGAGATCTCAGCTCACTGCAAGCTCCACCTCCTGGGTTCATGTCATTCTCTTGTCTCAGCCTCCCTAGAAGCTGGGACTATAGGCGCCTGCTACCACGCCCAGCTAATTGTTTGTATTTTTAGTAGAGACAGGTTTCACCATGCTAGCCAGGATTACAGGCATGAGCCACCATGCCCAGCCCAAAGTTCTACAGTTCTAATCGCTGACCCCAGGCAGGAAAGCTGGTAATTAAAGTAGCCTCTACAATCTGGAGTAAGTTTAGGGCAACAAAAGGGAAAATGTCCTAGGCCTTCTATCAGCCACTGACATGCCGTTTGATGTCCCAGATAGTGCCCAGGATACAGGTTATGAGGGACAAGTCCCGTATAAGTATATTGATACCAATTTGCATAAGAATAAGTCTGGGCACACCATGTGCAAGGGTCTTCGGATTGCCTCCCCATTTGACTTAGGCTCCTAGCCAAAAGATTCTTAGACTCAGGGTTAGGAAAAATTCTAGAGGATAGGGACTTAAGAAAGTCATCTCTGAGGACATTAGGACCCAGGAGGCATGGTCAGAGAAGGCAGAGAATGCATGCATGGGTGTCTGCAGAGTAGAGGCTTCTCGCTGTGCCATGATCTCGACTGGGTCAGTGCCAGGAGTTCGGGACAATAGTTTTCCGCCTCTAGCCAGCCCTCAGCTTTTCCCAGGAAAGGTGGAACTGGCTCCAGGCACACCAATGCTTCCAGCCCAGAGGGCTGGGGGTTGTTAGAGAGCCCTTTCCTGGAAAGCCTCACACCCGTGTCTTAAATCTGGCAGCCATGCTTGTCGCTTTTAAGTGGCCCACAGTTGCCCAGTGTTTTCCTCCAGTTGTTAGCGAGAAGATAGAACAGAATAGCAAGTGAAAGGGGTCCAATATTACTCACTGCTGTGGAGAAATCCCGGATGGGCCCCTAGAAATGAGATAAGAAGTATCCTCCCAATTGAAGGTTTTTTCTCAATCCAAGGGTTCCTGGTCTCGTGGGCTTCAAGGAATGGAGCCATGGACCGCAGCAGCAAGTGTTACAGCTCGATTAGAGAAATGCATGGACCCAAAGCGTGTGCAGCCGCACGATCTATTAAAGTGAAAGCAAAAGTAAAGTGAAAGCGAAAGTAAAGCTTCCACGCAGTGGAAGGGGACCCAGAAGGGTTGCTGTTTCTAGCTTGAGTGTCTTATGCTTATGTTCCCTTATGACCCCTCCCCTTTTCCTTTTTCTGCCCTGTTGAATTAGCTTATTTTCTATCCACTTGTGGGTTGGTGGGCCTAACTGGTTAAAAACATCAGACTGCAGCTAGAGCTTAAACTCCCTATATGATTGGTTGAAGTTTCAAACCCTTAGCTTGCAGCTGTGACTCATTTTGGCTTAGGGGAAAGTCCCCTTAGGGAAGTCCCTATTGACCCAGGAAGTCCAGCCAACTTAGCCACCTAGTCCCTCACTATTAGTTCTGTCTCTCTAGGGAATCCTCATACAAATTTTGGTACCAGAAATGGTTCTAGAGGAACAAAATGGTAAGAATGCAGTTATTTCATTGGTTTTGGGGTTTCTGGAGTTGGCTGCTTAATATAATTAGACCCCAAAATGCTAAGGACTCTATTTCTAATTGTATGGAGAATACTGACAATCCTTGGCATGAACTGCTTAGAGAGTTATGCAAAATAAATGCATTTGACACTCCTGATTCACCACCCATGAGAGGCAAGGAGTTTAGTGACTCTATACATAATACCTTTCACTATATGTATATATAATTAAGGAACATAATGAAGTTGGTTGGTTGCTCCTCAGTTCACCTGACAAAGTAATGAAAGAAAATGATGAACTCAGAAATTCTAACTCCCAGCTTCAGAAGCAGATACTGAGCCTCAAATCTGCTATGATTGCCCTGAATGAGAGTTTTATCTCCTTTAGCGAAAAAGCTGAAATTGTGGAAAAGCAGACACAAGCTTTTATCATGTGAGTGGCTGACCTGCAACAAGAGGTGCATGCACAGCCTCACCAGGTGTCTACTGTTAAAGTGAGGGCATTAATTGGAAAAGAACATGACCCTACAACTTGGAATGGGGACATGTGAGAGGACCCTGATGATGCTGGGGACACTGTGCTTGTAAACTCCATTGAAACTTTTTTGCCAGAAGAAACAGCTTCTCCATCCCCAGTAATGTCAACATTCCTTCCCAAACCCATGCTGCCATCAGCCTTTCCAACTTTGTCTGAGGAGATAAACCCTATGCTGCCTGAGGCCACAGTGTTGGCCTCCCCTGAGGCAGTTGCCAGGCAAGATAATGTTGATTCTCCTCAGCAGGCATCCCCACACCCCTGTTTGCTTCTAGACCTATAATTAGACTAAAGTCCTGGTGGGCCCCTGGAGGTGAGGTTGAGAGTGTGACTGATGAGGAGGTGCACTACAGTCAAAAAGAACTGCTTGAGTTTTCTAATTTCTGTAAACAGAAATCTGGAGAACAGGCACGGGAATGAATATTAAGGGTGTGGGATAATGGTGAAAGGATCAGAGGTGGATCAGGCTGAATTTATTGATTTGGGCCTACTAAGTATGGACTCTGCATTTAATGTTGCAGCTTGGGGAGTTAAACAAGGTTCTAATAGTTTATTTGCTTTGTTAGCTGAAATATGGATTAACAGATGGCCCACTGTGAGCGAGCTGGAAATGCCTGATCTTTCTTGGTTTAATGTAGAGGCAGGGATCTAAAGGCTTAGAGAGATTGGGATGGTGGAGTGGATTAGTCACTTTAGACCTACTCATCCAAGCTGGGAGGGTCCAGAAGATATACCCTTGACTAATGCCTTGTGAAACAGATTTGTGAGGGCATCACTTGCATCTTTGAAGAGCTCTGTAATTGCTCTTCTCTGTGTGTCACATCTAACAGTGGGAGCTGCAGTCACTCAACTACAAAACTTAAATACAATGGGAATAATTGGATCCCAGGGTGGCAGGGGCTAAGTGGCAGCACTCAACCATCAAAGGCAAGATGGGTGTAGCTATCACAGTGGACAGCAGAGGTAAAGCAGTTATCAGAATAGTCTGACTCATGTAGAACTTTGGCATTGGCTAATTAATTAAAATGCTCCTAGAATTGAAAATGATAGAAAGCCTACTGCATTCCTTCTTAATTTATATAAGCAGAAAACTTCTAGGTTGAATGGACAAAAGACTAATTTGAACTATAAAACAGAGAATCACAGCCCCTCAATCAATTTCCAGACTTGAGCCAGTTTATAAACCCAGAACCCTTTGAATGAAGGGGAAGCCAGGTCCCCTTGAGGAAGGACCCCACTACACTACTGAAAATTTATGTTTTTAATCTTTTTCCCATCCTTCCCCAAGGAGACCTCTGGCCTTTTACTAGGGTAGCTGTGCAATGGGGAAAGGGAAATTATTAGATATTTTGAGGACTACTGGATACTGGCTCTGAGCTGATGTTGATTCCAGGGTACCCAAAACATCATCGTGGTCCTCCAGTTAAAGCAGGGGTTTATGGAAGTCAGGTAATTAATGGAGTTTTAGCTCAGATCCAATTTACAGTGGGTCCAGTGGGTCTCCAGATTCATCCTGTGGTCATTTCTCCAGTGCCAGAATGCATAATTGGCATAGACACACTTAGCAACTGGCACAACACACACATTAGCTTCCTAACTGGAAGGGTGAGGGCTATTATGGTGGAAAAGGCCAAATAGAAGCCATTAGGGCTGCCTCTATCTAGGAAAATAGTAAATCAGAAACAATATTACATCCCTGGAGGGATTGTGGAGATTAGTGCCACCACAAGAACTTGAAAGATGCAGGAGTGGTAATTCCCACCACATCCCCATTCAACTCTCTCATTTGGCCTGTGCAGAAGACAGATGGATCTTGGAAAATGACAGCAGATTATCGTAAGCTTAACCAAGTGGTGACTCCAGTTGCAGTTGCTGTAGATGTGGTTTCATTCTTTGAGCAAATAAACACATCTCCTGGTACCTGGTATGTAGCCATTGACTTGGCAAATGCCTTATTTTCCATTCTTAACCATAAGGCCCACCAGAAGCAATTTGTCTTCAGCTGGAAAGGCCAGCAATATAGCTTTACTGTCCTACCTCATGGGTATATCAACTCTCCGGCTTTGTGTCATAATCTTATTTGGAGACACCTTGATCACTTTTCGCTCCCACAAGATATCACACTGGTCCATTACATTGATGACATTTTGCTGATTGGATCCAGTGAGCAACAAGTAGCAAACACACTGGACTTAGTGGTGAGACATTTGCGTGCCAGAGGATGGGAAATAAATCTGACTAAAATTCAGGGAACTTTTACCTCGGTAAAATTTACAGGGGTCCAGTGGTGTGGGTCCTGATATTCCTTCTAAGGTGAAGGATAAGTTGCTGCATTTGGACCCTACTATAGCCAAAAAAGAGGCACAATGCCTCATGGACCTATTTGGATGTTGGAGGCAACACATTCCTAACTTGGGTGTGTTACTCTGGCCCATTATCAAGTGACCTGAAAGGCTGCCAGTTTTGAGTAGGGTCCAGAACAGGTCTCTGCAATAGGTCCAGGCTGCTGTGCAAGCTGCTCTGCCACTTGGGCCATATGACATAGTAAATTCAATGGTGTTCGAGGTGTCAGTAGCAGATAGGGATGCTATTTGGAGCCTTCAGCAGGCCCTCATAGGTGAATATAGCAGAGGCCTCTAGAATTTTTGAGCAAAGCCCTGTCATCTTCTGTAGTTAACTACTCTCCTTTTGAGAGACAACTCTTGGCCTACTGGGCTTTGGTGGAAACTGAACATTTGACTATGAGTCATCAAGTCACCATGCAACCTCAACTGGGTGTTTTCTGACCTATCTAGCCATAAAGCGGGTCGTGCACAGCAGCATTCCATCATCAAATGAAAGTGGTATATACATGATTGGACTCAAGCTGGTCCTGAAGGCTTAAATAAGCGACATGAGGAAGTGGCTCAAATGTCCATGTTCTCCACTCCTGCCACCCTGCCTTCTCTTCCCCATCCTGCACCGATGGCCTCACAGGGAGTTCCCTTTGATCAGTTGACAGAGGAAGAGAAGACTAGGGCCTGGTTCACAGATGGTTCTGCACGATATGCAGGCACCACTCAAAAGTGGACAGCTGCAGCACTACAGCCCCTTTCTAGGGCATCCCTGAAGGATGCTGTGAAGGGAAATCTTCCCAGTGGGCAGAACTTGGAGCAGTGCACTTAGTTGTGCACTTTGCATGGAAGGAGAAATGGCAAGATGTGTGGTTATATACAGATTCATGGGCCGTAGCCAATGGTTTGGCTGGATGGTCAGGGACTTGGACGAAGCATTATTGGAAAATTGGTGACAAAGAAATTTGGGGAAGAGGTATGTAGATGTACCCCTCTGAGGGGTTAAAAACTGTGAAGATATTTGTATCCCATGAGAGTGCTCACCAATGGGTGACCTCAGCAGTGGAGGATTTTAATAATCAAGTTAATAGGATGACCTGTTCTGTGGACACCACTCAGCCTCTTTCCCCAGCTACACCTATCATTGCCTGATGGGCCCATGACCAAAGTGGCTATGGTGGCAGGAATGGAGGTTACACACGGGCTCAGCAACATGGACCTCCACTCACCAAGGCTGACCTGGCTACGGCCTCTGCTGAGTGCCCAATTTGCCAGCAGCAGAGACCAACACTGATCCCTCGATATGGCAGCATTCCTCATGGTGATCAGCCAGCTACCTGGTGACAGGTTGATTTTATTGGACTTCCTCCATCATGGAAAGGGTAGAGGCTTGTCCTTACTGGAATAGACACTTTCTCTGGATATGGGTTTGCCTATCCTGCACACAATGCTTCTTCCAAGACTACCATCCATGGACTACAGAAGGCTTTATCCACCATCATTGTATTCCACATAGCATTGCCTCTGACCCAGGCACTTACTTCATGGCTAAAGAAGAGTGTCAGTGGGCTCATGCTCATGGAATTCACTGGTCTTACCATGTTCCCCATCATCCTGAAGCAGCTGGATTGATAAAACAATGGAATGGCCTTTTGAAGTCACAATTACAATGCAAACTAGGTGACCATACTTTGCAGGGCTGGAGCAAAGTTCTCCAGAAGGCTGTGTATGCTCTGAATCAGTGTCCAATATATGGTACTATTTCTCTCATAGCTAGGATTCATGGGTCCAGGAATCAAGGGGTAGAATTGGAAGTGGAACCACTCACCATCACCCCTAGTGATCCACCAGCAAAATTTTTGCTTCCTGTGTTTGTGACATTATGTTCTGCTTGCCTAGACATGTTAGTTCCACAGGGAGGAATGCTGCCACCAGAAGAGACAACAACGATTCCATTAAACTGGAAGTTAAGATTGCCACCTGGACACTTTGGGCTCCTCTTACCTTTAAGTCAACAGGCTAAGAAGGGAGTTACAGTGTTAGCTGGGGTGATTGACCCAGACTATCAAGATGAAATCGGTCCACTACTTCACAACGGAGGACGGGTATGCATGGAATACAGGAGATCAATTAGGGCATCTCTTAGTAGTACCATGCCCTGTGATTAAGGTCAATGGGAAACTACAACAGCCTATCCAGGCAGGAATACAGATGGCCCAGACCCTTCAGAAATGAAGAGACAAAAGGAAATGAGTTTATATTCTGCAATGTTAGAGTTAACAATAATAATATAATACTAGAAATAATGTGTTTAAATATAATATAAAATTTAGAAGTCAAAATTAAATCTTTGTTTCAGGAAATTTGATAGGTTAATCATTATTTCAGCAAACAAATCTGTGTTGTTTAAAATACTTTTCCTTCCATATTTCATTTCTAAGCATTTTCCCCTTGATATGATTTATCTTTTCTAAAGTGACTAGATCATTCAAAGCAAAGGAACAATCAAAGCTAACTTTGCCTCAGGCTATTTGCAGTCGATGTCACTTGAGTTTAAACCACAAAGACATTTCAAAAAGAAAACATTTCTATCTCTTAATATGTAAGCCAGGAGATATGAAATCATGGCATCCCCAGAGAAACACCTTTCCCTGATGTCAACTTGGCAACTTGCATCTGCTTTTCTGATGAACAAAGAAAAGTATTTGGCTATGACAGTTCAAAAACTGTGTATCCTTAAACTTTTTACCTTCAATGCTGCATTAATGAAGCATCTCTGCTCTTCTAAAGGCCATTAAAGGCTTTTAGCTCTCTCTCAATTGTATTAGCAAGGGAAAAGTAAGATGCATTGTGACCCTGTATCTAAGACACATGCCTAGATTCCCTGTTATGTAAAGTAAAAACCATCCTGAAAATGCTTTCTGTTCTCAACATTTTATATCTACCTTCTCTGAACAGATAAGCACCACATATAATCAGCAAGATCAGCAAGTTCACAGCAAAGAAAGTTAGCTAAAAACTACTGCCAATACTTAGCAAGAACTGATTTACATATTTACCAAGTCACAGTTTCCATTATTATTGGAATACAACTCTACACAAAAGCACATACGAAAATTGAAAATACCATGATTTTTTTTTGAAACATCTAGTTTGAAGTCTTCAAATAGTCATGCTGGAAATTCTGTTCTTTTATAATCTAAAGTATGTATTTAATCATTCTATCACTTTCATTGCTTTCAATTTTTTAATAACTACCATATGCCTTTGGAAAATGAAGAAAAAGCAAAAAGAAAAAAGAAGATAAATTTGACACTCACTTTCAAGGAACTAAAATACTTCTCAGGATAAGAGCAATGCAAACAAAAGTAAAATAAAGCAGATTGAGGAATTCATTTCTGAAAAAGTTAGGTTAGGTTTTTTATATTACCTTTGGTGGAACCTGAGAAATAACTGTAGTTTTTGTTAAGCACACAAAACATTAGATGGGCATTCTAGGTAGGAGGAAGAGAACCTACACACTGTAAAGGCACAGAGCTATAGAAATCAGCATATTTTTAAGGTTTAAGTAACAGCATGCTTGGAGCTAAATTATGAGATAAATTACCTAAAATATAAAATGATTTGTGGTCCACAACTGCTTTGCTAATAACAGTGACTGATAATGCTTGAGTTTACTGGGATCTGTTATGCATCTTGGGGACTTCAAATCTTGGGAAATTAGGTATGTCATAGTAAAGAACCAGATTTCCAAAGCCTCTTTAGATGAGATCACTGATTCATATTAGATCCATGTACAGGTCATGGGCACCAGGAGAAACAACAACAAAAAAACACACTCAGAGCAAGAGTTAAAAGAGTTTCTATCCGTAGCTTAGCAAGAGACGATAGGAAGGCAGACAATTAGGTCGTGTCAAAGAGCAGATAAAGAATTACAAGGCTCATAGCGTTCTCATAGATGAGCAGAGGTTTATAATATAGAGAAAGCCTAACTTCAAAGAGCCTTGAAGATAACAAGTAATCACTAAGGAGTATTCACCATTGTCTTGCTTAAAGGACATCTCCAGGTAAATCATTAGCATGTAGCATGGGCACAAAAGCAGTTCCTAAAAACACTTGGAACATGACATTAAAAAGCTAAACTCAAAAGATAGCATTATATGTGCTTATTTTAAAACATTGATATATACCTTTAATGAGAACATTCCTTTATAAAAAGCTTATTAATTATGCTAAGTAGAACTGGGGTTCAAAATCACATCAAATATTGCAGCACAAGGCTTTGAAACACTGCTCCACTGCTTAGTGCTATATTTATTCAAAATCTTACTATTATTTACCTATCAAAGGTATAAATCTGTTAATTTTGAGATCTTTATTATGCAGATATTAATACACATATAAATTGTCTTACTTTGTAAATGCATTTCAAGTATTATTGAAGTGTGAGAGTTCCCTGGCCCCACTCGCAGGACATGTGACAGGGTGCAGTTCATCTTTTTCAGCCGCTAGGCATGCTCAAATGCCTTATGGGATGGGGAGTCCACGGATGGGCAGGTGCAGGAGCTGGGGCAAGTGCCCCTGGGCTCTGGCCACACAGTGGCGTCCAGAGTGGGTGTCTGAGACTCCCAAAGTGCAAGTGGACGTGTGTTACAGTGTGTTCTTTTAGCCTTGCCATCCACAGATGGCTTAAGTGTTAGACAGCTCAGTGGACCCTCTACCTTTTCACAAGGGCAAAGGGCCAGTGCAACAGCTTTCTGTATCTGGAGCTCTTGTCTGGCATCCAGGAAAAGTCAGGTCACACAGGGACTTGAAGGATGAATGTGGGGGTTTTATTGACCGGTGGAGGTGGCTCTCAGCAGAATGGATGGGGAGCTGGAAGTGGGATGGAGTGAGAAGATGATCTCACCCTGGAATGTGGCCATCCAGCAGCTGATTTTCACTCTGACTGTCCCCAGCCAAATTCCTCTCAATGTTCAGACATTCCTTCTCTCTGCCACACCATTCTGCCATTCTTCTGCTCTTCTGTTCGTCTACTCATCTGCTTCTGGAGCCAGGGGTCTGGGGTTTATACGGGTACAAGACAGAGGTGTGGCAGGCCAAAAGGCAACTTTAGGGTGTGAAAACAGGAATGCCCGTTCCCATTTAAAGTCGTGGGTTTTCAGGCTTGAGGGTGAGGCCTTTGCCAGGAGCTGCCCTCTTCTACCCGGTATTTCCCTGTCTCTTCTCTGTATCATTATCAAATAAATTGTCATGTTTAAATTTTATCAACTAATATTTTAAGCAATAAAATATATAATGTAGGTAACTATTATTTTGTTAGAGTTGATATCATCATTTTTAAAAAATGATGCATTAGCGTAAGGCTTCAGTATAACAAAAAATGTCAAACAGGTTCATGGTGTCAAATGTATGTGCTAAATGTCCATAAATAAGTTTTATGCCTCTATCTAAATCAGGATTTATACCATATAGTCTTTTAATACTTTATTTTGGTTAACTAATAAAAAAAAGGAAGAATATACAGTATTTATCTTCCAATGACCGTCATCAAACAGTCTTTGTCATAATTACAAACACATTGTAAAGTCTTTGTCATAATTTCAAGATCATTTATCTCTGTATATAATTATAGTTATTAGGAAAATGTAATATTTTTAAATCTAATAGTCTATCCACTAGAATATCTAAGCAGTTTTATTATAAGAAACTCTGCTAACACACTTAATTCATGGGCACATTTTTAATAGAAATGGAAACATTTGCTTAATCTGCAAAATGATCTTACTGATCTCAGCACTATATATAACATGTAATCTTTCCACCTAATTTGTCCTTGCACATTTGCAAATTGCCAGTGGAAAATATTGCCTCCATTGAACTCCAAACTAAACAGAGTGCAAAACCTCCTCCTCCTCCAAATATATATAAAATTACAGTATCCTCAAATTAGTTTCTTTAAAATATATTGTTAAGGCTTCTGGTGTGATATTGAAGAAAAGTTCAGAATTTTCCCAGTTACATATTTTCAGTGTTACAGAAGGAATTTTTGGATAGGAACTAAATACAAAAAGTTTATTTTAAAAATAATACCAGGGAGCTCATATCTTTAGACTTCAAAGCACATGTAAATGCGCCAAAAAGCAGCAGCAAAGCTTGCATAGAAGCCAAGGGAAGGAATTAGAAAGAACAGGGCACAGATTAATCTACAGAAAGTCTGTAGAATTTGTTGCAGACAAACAAGAAAAACAAGGAGACAAACCTAACAAAAAACTTCTAGAAGGCATTCTCTGACATAGACTCTGGGCCAGCAGAAGAAGTTCTCCTCTTGGGTGAGAAATTTAAAGAAAGTGAGAATAAGTGAATACTCCAACAAACATGAAATATGAGGGGGAATCAATATGCTATTAGGGCAATGGAGAAAAAGAGGATTTTTGGTATCATGACAGCAAGCTGGTCAGGAGAGAAAGCTTCTCCCCTGCTGCTACCAAAAGGGAATATGTTTCACATGGCCGTGTCAAAGCAAGTCAAATTTCAGTCAACAGTGAATGATAGAAAGAGGACATTTGTAGCACCTATACAAGAATGCTTCAAGAAAACAATTGAAAAAGTATAGCCAAATCTCAAGGAAACACTAAAAAAAAATTATTTTTCATAAATTAAAACACGATTTTTATTGGATTAGGAAAAATGGATATCTATAGAAGAAAACATAACCTTCTATACTGAAGAGAGAAAAAATGAAAGCTGAGTGAAACGAGCATTAAAAATATATTTTGAAGAAAATCTACCAGAAAACAAAGAAAAATTTCAACATTGAAGATCCACCGTAGATACAAGATACAACAAAGATAAAAGAAAAGAAAAAAAATTTTTATATATGTATGTATATATAAGTATATATAGTTGTATACAAGTATATACGCTATATACTTGTAAGAAGTTTATACATGTTTGTATAATTATAAGAAGCATATGTGTCTGTAAAAGTGCATGTACATAAAAGTGTACATATATGTGTGTATGTATTATAAGTACATATACATTTATACACATATGTATATACATACACATACATACGTATGCTTTTAAATACTTATAAAAACATATGCTTTTACACACTCACATATATATACATACACACACATATAAACACACACATACATATACACACAGATCGATTTCTAAAGAAATAGATAATTTTAGGTATCTAGCAGAAGATTTCATGGAATTTCTACCAAGTTAAAAACACAATATTTAAATAACTTGGATGGAAAAGAAGAAAAATTTCAACACTTTTATTTATTAAATAAGCCCAATATTGATGATATAACAATCCAAATAGGATTGAATATAAAAGGAATCATAGCTATAATATTAACAAAAATGATCTATATAAAGTGTTAATAAACAAAACCCAATACTGTATTAGTGAATAAATCTATTTTGTGTATTATGCAGAATAATTCCTATAATCCAGTGACTTTTATTTTAGCAATAAAAAATGGTTCAGTATTATATAAAATGGTGACCTAATTAATAATTACAATTAAATCAACTAGAGAAAATGTAAGTTGTGATAGATAAGGTTCAGAAATAGACATATGTAAATGCATATGGGAAATTATATAACCTAGTAGTATTTTGAATGAAAGAAATGGTTGAACTACTCAATAAATGACATTGAAATGACTGAAGTTGTGGGGGAGAGTTGACTCCAATTTACACAGGTATAAATTTTAAATGGGTTAAACACTGTTAAAACGGCATTATAAAAATACTTAAAAACATGTATATTTTTAATTTTATAAATGCAAAGTAAATTAGGGATGTGTAACCATAACAGAAAGATTTAGAGACATGAAAGTATTACCAAAAACCAAAAGCAAAACAAACAAAAATAAAAAACTGTCAATCAAAAATCAATAAACTACAAACTCCCAAGGACTTAATCACTAATAGCCTACTACTGACCAGAAGCCTTACCAACAACATAAACAGTGGATTAAAATATATCTTGTATGTTATTTGTGTTATACACTCTATTCTTAACAAAATATAAGCTAAATAAAATAATGTTATTAAGAAAATCATAAGGAAGAGAAAATATATTTACTACTCATTAAATAGAAGTGGATCATGATAATGATCTTCATCTTCCTCATCTTCATGCTGAGTAGTCTGAGGAGGAGGAAGAGGAGGGGTTGGTCTTGCTGTCTCAAGAGTGGCAGAGGTGGAAGAGGTAGAGGAAGTGGAAGGGAAGGCAGGGAAGGCAGGAAAGGCAGTCACACTTGTAACTTTAATTTTTAAAATTCACATATAAGTGAGACTGTTCAGTTCAAACTTGTGTGGTTGAAGGGACAACTGTATACTAAAGTTATTATGCATTGGCACAGAGCTATTCGTAGTGAAATGTTGTATATAACTAAAGTGTCAGTTCAGGACTGTCCAAATAAATTAGAGCACACCTGTACAGTGGAATAATATTTAGCAAAATTGAGCATGTCTTTTTATAGAAGGATCATCAATATATATGTAATGTGAATAAAGAATGGTGCAGAGATATATATAGTATATTAGTTTTGTAACATAAGCAAAATATTTGTAAAAACATTTGGTTCTATATGCCTAAAACCATTGGAAAGATTGACAAGAAACTAATAACATGATTATATTTTGAGTAATAGTTGCACTGAGTGGACTGAGAATGATTTTCACTAAATAACCATATATATTTAGGTATCTTTTTAATGGTTTAGCTACTCAAAAAGTAAATAAAGTTATATCAAGGGCAACTTATTCCAATGAGCAAGATTAAAAATATTTCTAACATAAATATTATAACTTAAATATTATCTACTTATTAAGAGACAAAGTAAATGCCCGAAATACTCCACTATACTCTAATATTTTGTTTGGACCAAAGATGGAAATAATTTAAAAAGCAATATCTTTAAAAAAATCTTAGTCTAAAAAAGTACACTTACCTATTTGTTGCTTAAACTCCATCACTTTAAGTTTTACCTGTAAAGCCATCTAAATAAATACTTAAAGTTAGAGGGGGAAGAGAAATAAGTAGCTATTCGTCTGAATACATTACAGTTGAATTACAGTTGATCTTTAAATAACATGGGGTTCAACTACACCACTCCACTGATAGTAGATTTTCTTCAGCCTCTGTCATCCCTAAGACAGCAAGGCCATCTGCTCCTGTTCCCCAGCCTACTCAACGTGAAGAGAATGTGGACTGAGACCTTTATGATAATCCATTCCCACTTTATGATAATCCATTCCCACTTTATGAAAAACACGTATATATTTTCTCTTTCTTATGATTTTAACATTTTCTTTTCTTTAGCTAACTTTATTGTTAAAAATACAGTTTTATATATATATATATATATATATATATATATATATATATATATATATATATCATACCAAATATGTGCTAATTGACTGCATATGTTATTGGTAAGGCTTCTAATCAACAGCAGGCTATTAGAAGTTAAGTTTTGGGGGAATCAAAAGCTTTATGGGGATTTTCAACTGCTCCAGGGATGGTGCTCTTAACTCTAGAGTTCTTCAAGTGTCAACTGTATTCTTGAATATTCTGTTAGAGCAGTAAGGTGTCCAATTTAGAACAGTAGGAGTTGTTACAAACTTTTCTGTTTGACTCACCATGAATAATCAACCAGTAGCCAAATACTGATTATAAAAATTTCCATTGTGTGTGTGTGTATGTGTATGTGGGTGCATGTATGCATGTGTGTATGTGTGCACGCATGCAGGTATTGGATACTTTTTATTACTATTAATAAATAGAACTAAAGACTCCTCCCTGTTTTGCTGAAACTGTTAATTCATTAATTTACTATGTACTAGGTACATTTTGTTATTTCATTGTAAAGTTTGATATAAACATCTCTCGTGATGCTTGTGAGATTATTCTGGAAAGAGGCCATGACTTTTTTCATCAGTATGGCCTTATCATTTTACAGAGTGAATGACAACAATAGTTTGTTGAACAAATGCATTGATATGAGATCTACTTCATAAAAATGCAAATGAATACATGATGGAAATTAGAAGAAATCATATTGAAAATTATAACTGTGACTCTTCTCTTCCAGCTTATCTACATTTTTTGCTTCAGAATAATTCTTACTTTTCTATTAGTGTCATAGAAATTACAAAGGGTCTAGTCCAAAATGCTTATCTCATATCTATTATCCAACAACAGGAGGCCTTGAAGCTATGTATTTTTAATTACTTTATAATTACATATATTTCATGATTGAATTCAAATCGAGAAACATGTTTCTCTCGTGGATACAAAAAGTTGTATCATTGCCAAGGTGCAGCCATTTCTGACAATTAAAGTTCGTTATATCAAGGACTGTTTTCATTTTCCAAGATGCTAAGAGGGACAAAACATTAATTCAAGTGTTTTTCTTATTTTTTATTACATTCATGGACTTGTTGAGATGAAAGTTAGAAACGGAAGTAAAGAATAACTCTTATCAGAGACAAAGGAAGAAAACTCAGATATGTAGGAAAACATTAATATAGTGCTTAAGCCAAAGAGAGCACATCACCCTCACACGCAGCTTTAGCTTTTGGGGATTTGATATGATTTGGCTCTGTGTCCCCAACCAAATCTCATCTTGAATTGTAATCTCCATAATCCCCATCTGTTGAGGACAGGATCTGGTGTGAGGTGATTGGATCATGGAGACAGTTTTCCCCATGCTGTTATCATGATAGTGAGTGAGATCTCACGAGATCTGATGGTTTTATAAGTGTTTCACAGTTCTTCCTATGCTCTCTCTCTCTTTCTCTCTCATTGTTGCTCTCTTGCCTGCTGCCTTTAAGACATGCCTGCTTCTCCTTCCACCATGATTATAAGTGTCCTGAGGCCTCCCCATCTATGCTCAAGGAACTGTGAGTCAATTAAACCTCTTTTCATTATAAATTTCCCAGTCTCTGGCAGTTCTTTATAGCAGTGTGTAAACAGACTAATACAGGATTGATATAAATACAAATAAAAATACACATTTGCCATACATCCTCTGCCAATCCTGTGACTCTGACAACTCTCAGAGACAACTCTAATTCAACTAAGCAAGCTTATACAGACTACACCTATATTACAAAATGTTTCTAATTCTGTCTCACTCTAAATATAAAAGTACACCTAGCTGAGGTCTACTTTCTATATCTAATATACCTAACTTGAAAGTATGTGAAATTAGGAAAAAGGCAAGGAATTAATTTCAATATCTGTTCTTTTCTCTAAATTATTTAAGCACACCATTTAAAATTCCAATAAGCTATTGAACTATTTGTCTATTTCAATAATAAAAATTCTCTGGAATTAAAAAAACTCAGATGTTGTAGTATATCCATCCCTTTTTTACTGTTCTTTTAAAATTTGTTTTTTAGTAAAAGTCTTTAAAAATAATTAATTGTAATAAACATTGAAGCCCAATTTTAAAGTATTTATTATGTACCTGGTACCGTGCTTTATAATTTATGTAAATTAACTTAATTCTTACAAACCCTTTGAAATAGTTATTAGTATTGTTCAGTTTTACAGATAAGGACATCAGGCTCTGATTAATTAACTTCCATTCTCACTTAAACTAATTCCATTCCAACACTTCCAAAAAAAAAGCTATTATTACCAGTGTTACAAATAAAATCGACTTTGAAAATCTAATGTAAACTTTTAATTTACTTCCTGCCTGATCTTCCTACAGCACTGAATCTTCTTACTACCATTTACCTAGAACCTGTTCCTTTATTTCAGGGACAACATACCTTCTGTTCTCTGTCCTGTCTGGCTTACAGGTCCTTCTTTCTTTATACAGAAACTCATCATGCAAACTCTAACCATATAACTTTGAAATGCTCCACAACTTAGTTTGAGGCCACTTTACTTATTATCAAGATTCAGTCTCCTGGTTCCTAAATCCTGTCCCATAGCTTCAAATATCATTTAGATGCTGAGAATTTAAAAAAAAAAAAAAAAAAAGTATCTCCAGTCATGCCTCTATTTTAAAATCCAGTCATGTTTAATTAACAATTCAACATTTTTCCTTGAACATACAATAGACAATCTCAAATTAATATGCCCCAATCTGAACTCAATCTAACCTTTACATACTCCAATCACCCCCTTCAGATTTGCTTTTATTCAAGGGTTCCATATTTTAAAAAAACAAACATATAAAAATATTTGCAAAGAGCCTGTATCCTATTAGCATAGCCCAGGATATTTGAATTTTCCTCAACTCCTCTATTTCTCTTACACCATGTATTGAATCTAAAAGGAAATTCTATTAGCACTATTTATGTAATATAGCCACAATAACTGGTTCTCGCCACCACCACCACTTCTCTACTATATATTTTTCACAACCACCTTTAGATTTTCTTGCTTCTGATTTGCCAGCTCTATGTTCAATCCAGGAGTCATTTTCAGTTTTTCAAAAGGAAGTAAGAATGTATGACTCATCTGCTGTCTGATTTCTCATCTCACTCAGAAAACACATATACCATTCTTTGTGCACCAAATAGCACAATCTTTAAAAGTAAAGGTTTATATTTTACTTTATATATATTTTATCATCAATTTCCTTGAAATACCTGTTTCTGGTCAGTACAAACCACAGATTAGTAGAGACTCCTGAGCAGAATAAGAAACAAACTAAATATTATAATAAATAACATTCCAAAATAAGGAAAGGCTTCTGAGGAATCTAACCATTTTCAGGAAATCCACCTGGAATCCCATTCTCACAGTATTGGAACTCCCTCATTCTTCCTTTAGCTGGTCACTGCGCACCTAGTCTTTTCACTCTCCACCAAAAAAAAAAAATTCCTCAGGAAAGGCTTTGACAGAGGAATAATAGTTACTTGAACCAAAGCTTCAAATTCTACATTTTCATATATATATATTTAAGTATATATATTTAATATAAATATGTATTAAATATACATTTAATATAAATATATATTTAATATATATTAAATATACATTTAATATAAATATATATTTAATATATATTAAATATA
Organism: Homo sapiens; assembly: GCF_000001405.40. NCBI lineage: Eukaryota > Metazoa > Chordata > Mammalia > Primates > Hominidae > Homo > Homo sapiens. The sequence continues at coordinate 18,762,581 of NC_000005.10, forward strand.
CATTTAATATAAATATATATTAAATATGCATTCAATATAAATATATATTAAATATATATTAAATATGCATTCAATATAAATATATATTAAATATATATTAAATATGCATTCAATATAAATATATATTAAATATATATTAAATATGCATTCAATATAAATATATATTAAATATGCATTCAATATAAATATATATTAAATATGCATTTAATATATATTTAATATATATTAATATATATTTAATATATTTATATTAATTATATTTAATATATAAATTATATTTAATATATTAATTATATTTATATTTAATATATAATTATTTATATTTATATTATATATTTTATATATATATTCATTATAAATATATATTTAATATATATTTAATATAAATATATATATTTAACTTTAGTAGTAAAAAAACAAGTAGACTTTATTGCTCTTATACTTTATAATTCATTTAGGAAAAGAAGGAACACCTTTGCAGCTACTCCTGCTAAGTTACCAAGGGTTTTTTCAATGCTAGTCTTCACAATTCATATTCAAATACCAGGAATCCCTAATCCCTTTAAAAATATATGTGTATTTCCAATAATTTCTTATAGGCTCTCAAAAAGTCATTACATTTTGAAGGTATAATGGAAACAACCTAAACATTAATGCCAAGTAATGAATATAATAGTTCACATATATTAAATAGTTAATACATATGTGCAAGGCATTGTTATATACATGTTTATACACGCAAACATACATGTGTGTGTATAAAATCTCAGTGAATCTCCACAAGAATTATTAGAACTAGTAATTAGACCCAGTTGTTCTATTTCTGTAACGCATGATCGTAAACCATTATAGAATAAACCTTGAAAGCTATCATTTTCAAAGATAATTTTGAAACTTGCCTTGGGCAAGTTAGTAAATAACTGTGCTCCTTGGTTCCCTCATCTGTGACATGAGTAGAACCTACACTATTACATGAAGGTTTGAGTAGTTAATACGTAGAATATTTTAGTATTTATAGATCTAGAATGTAAAAGGGAATTAATAAATTTTAAGGAGAAAAATTAAGAGAAAAAATAGTCTCATTTTCAAGCCTACTAAACATAAGCTCTTTCTTAAATTGAATTTATACATGCAGAATAGGTGGGTTTACTAAAAATTAAGCACCCTTGATTTGAAATTTTAGAAAGGGTAGATTGCTGTTATTTAGAGAATTGCAATGTATTTTAATTTGTGAGCAGGATGTCATGGTGTTATTTAGAAACAGTGATAAGAAACTTTTTTTGGCTATTAAAAATGGAAATAGAAAAAAAGAAAGAAAAGCTAAGAGTAATCATTTAACTCTAACAAGCAGTTTTTAAAAAGTACTTTATTTGATTATCAGCTTCAATTTAAAAGGTTATATATCTGATAAACATAACACAAAGAAAAAGCTTGATAATTAACAAAATACTCTATAGTATTTCTTTTTTCATCTTTTTCCAAGTCAGATTCTTGCAAGCACTGGGAAATTTGTGTTTATTCAAGATTTAATGACAATGTTAATGCCACTGTCAATCTGGATTCTTTAGCTAGAAAAGCAAATCTGATTTACATTAACCTGAACACCTTAATAACTAATTAAAATCTCAGCCTCCTGGCTAAATTCTTAGACATTTATTCTGTTTAACTCAGCAACAAAATATTATTAGTCACTTTCTTTTGAGAAAGGTGAGTCTAATGTATTGGTACTATTAGGGCATTTTATAATCTGCAACCCAATCAGCCTTAACAAAAGATTTTGTACTCAGCATGACTCAAATATTTTACACAATAACTTACTGAAAAATAATGCCTGCCATTGCATTTGTGCTCTAACATACTGCAGTGATTTTGTGTTTGCAAATACTTATCCAGGTCACATGTTTGCTTGAAAAAATGTAAAACAAAAAATGCATATAGATTATTAAAGAAATCCTCCCAAGTTTGTTCACATATATTAGATCCTAAAACTAAATAGGTTAGTGTTTTTTTTTTCTGAACTGAAATAGATTAACAGAATATATTAACTGAAGTAACTTTGTCCTATTATTTATAATTCTTATTAGACACATGTAATTGAGCCTATGACTGAGCATGAAGACTCTATAAAGGACATCGATCAAGTATACAATATAATTTTCTTTAATTTTGATCTGAAAGACTTAATAGAAAGACTGAAATCCTGTTAAAAAATTGATTACATTTCTACTGGATTTGGGAAATATGTAGCATCAGTAATAAAGTACTTAATGATCATTTATTGTGTTTGGTGTATGATTTATTATATCCCCATTTTTTATAACCCTCAAAGTATTTGCAAAATTAATAGAACTTTCTTAAGAATATAGTGACTGGCCGGGCGCGGTGGCTCACGCCTGTAATCCCAGCACTTTGGGAGGCCGAGGCGGGTGGATCACGAGGTCAGGAGATCGAGACCATCCTGGCTAACAAGGTGAAACCCCGTCTCTACTAAAAATACAAAAAATTAGCCGGGCGTGGTGTCGGGCGCCTGTAGTCCCAGCTACTCGGGAGGCTGAGGCAGGAGAATGGCGTGAACCCGGGAAGCAGAGCTTGCAGTGAGCCGAGATTGCGCCACTGCAGTCCGCAGTCCGGCCTGGGCGACAGAGCGAGACTCCGTCTCAAAAAAAAAAAAAAAAAAAAAAAAAAAAAAAAAAAAGAATATAGTGACTGTCCTCAAAATCCACTTAATAAGTTGATAGCCTCAAATTTATATTTCACCTACTCCTCCAAAATAATTATCTGTAAATCACAGAATTCAAGGAAAGAGATGGCTTACAAAAGGAAGTATGACTTCTCATGTTAAATGCTGATGAGAGCCCCGGTAAAGTTATGAGTGGTTGTATATAAGTAACACTCTTAGAAATCATGATTTTCATAAAATGTCACTTCAGCAAAATGACCGGGTCAAAATCAATGTGGAAAAAATGGGTTTTATAGGTTGACAAATCTGTTGGTTTGTTTACTGAATTTTTAAATTAGGTAGCTACTCTAGTTTTCCTTATTCATATATTCATATTACACTATGTGTCAGGCAGCTATTTTGGTGTGGCATATACAGTGATGTTATGGTGGTAAGCAATTGTAGATATAAGCAGCATAGAGTCTCACATGGAAGACTGCCATCAACCTAGAATCTTTCCAATCTTGAATTGTACTTGTGCTGAGAGCTAGATACAGTGCTGAGAGAATTTATAATAGGGCTATCATATTGCCAGATACCAGGAAGTTTCCTCTGAAGAAGTGTATATTTTAAAAGAGGTTTTAGGACTTAAATATGGTGGTACCTGAAGAAAGGTTAAGTATATAAGTATATATGAAAAGTGAACTTCTTGGATGAGTCTTAACGTTGTTAGTTTCCATAGCAGCATGGATGCCAGTGCCACTCAGCAAAAAAAGAAAATGGCGGAAATTAACCACATTTGTCGGAGACTATGAGTTTAGTTTTGTATGTGTGTTGCATGAAATGTTTCAGTATAAACACAAAGGAAGTAAAGTCCAGAAATATATGATCTTATGTTCACTAGGTATCTGGCTTCAGGAATTATATTGGAGATTCATCTGCATATAAGTGGTGATTGAATCTTTGGGTGTGGAGAAGTTTTCTGAAAGAGAAAACCACTTAAGAAGTGGAAGTCTTCTACTTCCTAGGACCTGGGGCAGGTATTAAAGAACTTCAACAAGGAAGAGAAAAAGTATGAAGAGAAGAGAGGTAGATGAAAAATGGAAAAAAAAAAAAAAAACCTTTAAAGGACAGTTCTCAGTAGTTATCAGTGTTGAATGTCCATGAGAGGTCTAGTAAAAAAGAACTGATTTTGCTGTTGGTGGTGGTGATGTAAGATATGGCTTTGATGATATGCCCTTAGAGAGTATTTCAGCAGAATGAAGCCAGACTGGAATGTAGTGTATAAGCAGTGAGAAAATGAATACAGTGAGCTTGAAGCACTCTTTCAAAAAGTTGGGCTGGGCATGGTGGCTCACACCTGTAATCCTAGCACTTTGGGAGGATGAGGTGGGAGGATCACTTGAGGTCAAGAGTTTGAGATCAGCCTGGTCAACATAGCTAAACCCCATCTCTCCAAAAAGAATAAAAAATAAAATTAGCTGGGTGTGGTGGCATGCACCTGTAATTCTAGCTACCTTGGAGACCGAGGTGGGAGGATTGTTTTAGACCAGGTGTTCAAGGCTGCAGTGAGCTATGATCATGCTCCTGTACTCCAGCATGGGTGACAGGGCGAGACTCTGTCTAAAAAAAAATTAAATAAATAAATAATTTAAAAAAAAGAAGCTTAATGATACATGGGTGCATAATGTATCATGGTACTATATGGAGCTATAACCTGGAAAGAGAAATGGAGCCCCCGAGGCTGCTTTAGTTTTATTAGATGAAGCTCTTCTTTTACATAATTTGATAGAAATGTATTGAGTTTAATAGAAAAAAAGTTAAATTGACACAAAGGAGAGGTCTATTTGCAATGTAAGTATATGTTTGTATATCAATGCATAGATAAAATAATTCATTTTTAAGGTACATAAGAAACAGGTGCTTTGTAATAACAAAAGTGATGATAGTTTTCAAAATCAATTGGTTTTAAATTTATATTTTGAATGTAAAACCATTAAAATATTAAGTTACTGGCTTTCTCTAAAATACCTGTTAAGAGTGAGTATGTGTTCGATGGTGGTGGTGAAAGTAGGAATTCTGATAGTATTTGAGGAAAATAGAGAAAAATTAGTATGATTTTGCAGGCAGTGGGAAAGGGGAAGTCAAAGACACACTGTGGGATTGCTGATAGTTTTGTAGATCTGTTTGAGAGTGTCATCAATCATTTCAAGCAAATGTAATAGATAAAATGATGCCGTAGAGTCAGAGGCACAATGAAGGAACAAAAAAAAACATAAAGAATATAGAAACTTATGGATTTAATGGCACAGATGAGTTCTTCCCCCAGGATCATAATTATTTAGAACTCAGAGCTTATTTTCTAATACAAATTTGATATTTTATAATAATACATATCTGTCTAAACTGCATTTTAATCAACATAAACATGTAATAGCAATTTTTTTAGTTAAGTGATACAGTTATATTTCCTTTACATAATTATTTCCATTTTTTTCTAGAGTTGATATTTGTCTCATATTTTTATTTTCTTTGATGTATTCAAAATCTATGATTAATCTTTCTGCCCCTCCAGTGCATTTGTACATCTCCACTTAATCTTGCATTCTAAATGGCTAAATATAATTTTTATCTTTTTTCATGAGGCAGCTTTCAGGAAGCCTTCTCTTACCTTAATTGAATCAGGACTCTTTATTTTCAGCAAGTTTTGATACATTTGATACTCCTGGATTCTCCATTGCCTCTCTTCCGTTGGATTCATACTTGGGAAATTCTATGTTTTGTTTTCTGCTTATTCCCCTATTTTGCTGGGGTATGTTTTCAGAGTAAGTTAATCAGGGTACATACAGTAATAATTTTTTAGGTCTGTCGGTCTAAAGCTATCCATTGGATTTCTATTTGATTCAGGAGCTTTGTTGAAGGTGCATCTTGAACAAAGAAGGACTGTTCTTTGGTGTGTGTGTGTGTGTGTGTGTGTGTGTGTGTGTGTGTGTGTGTGTGTGTGAATCACTTAACCATGTAATTATAGTTCTATTCTAGGATTCTCTGCTTTGTTCCACTAATCTATCTATCCTTACTCAAATTTCGCTCTGTTTTTATAATGTCTTAAACATATATTGTAAGCCCTCCATATTTGTACTGCTTTTAAAAGATCATTTTGTAATTATGAGTCTATTTCTATATATTTAACACATTTTAGAATCAACTTGTCAATTCATGGAAGAAACAGTTTGCTGAGATTATGACTAGAATTGCGCTAAGTCTTCGGATCAATTTGGGAAACTGCAAGGAAGAAAAGACATTCCCAGGCTGCGATTTAATCAAGGAATGCACAATATTTTCTGAGTTAGATTTCAGAATTTCCAGTGACCCCTTTCTGGTTTCCATTTCCCCATTTTTGAACAAACATTTCTGTAACAGGTATGCATTTCCTTCTACGTCGTATGTAGGATAGAGGCAGTAAATTTGACTTTATAATTTCACAGATCTAAAGATGGAGGGAATGTACTCAAGAAATTTCAACAAAGCATCCTCAGCAAGCTTGACCCCTGTGCTTCATGCCTTTCCCATTGACAAAATACATCCACCTCCCAAGGCGTTCAAGAGTCCCATCCTATTATAGCATCATCTCAAAGCTGCATGGATTTTTCAGTGTCTTTGAATTATATAAACGGGATTAGACTTTAATTTTAATTTCTCATAACAATATTGAATCTAAGGTTGTAACTCTTCAAAAAGGTGTGTGAAGTTTATATGGCCATTAGGATGGCTTGGTTTTAGCTTGTTTATCCCAACCTCTTCAGCACTCAATAATATAGTGGCTCTCCACCCCTAATTTGAAAAATGTATATTGAAAGAACTTGTTAATCATACTTCGATTTTTAAAATGATATATTCTGTATACTTTTGTTATTACATATAAAAATAGAAACATTATATATTATATATAATAGCAAAATATGTGTGTGTGTGTGTTATACATATATATGATACTGACTTAGTCCACTTGTTTTGCTATAAAGGAACACCTGAGACTGGGTAATTTATAAAGAAAAGAGATTTATTTGACTTGCAGTTCTGCAGGCTGTATGAAAAGCATGGCATCAGCATCTGCTTCTGGTGAGGTACTCAGGCTGCTTCTGCTGATGGCAGAAGGTGAAGGGGAGTAGGTGTGTGCAGCGATCACATGGTGAGAGGAAGATAGCAAGAGAAAGAGAAGGAATGTGCCAGGCTCGTTTTAACAATCAGCTCTCATGGGAACTAATAGAGCAAGAACTCACTCATTATCTTGAGATCAGCACCAAGCCTTCATAAGGGACCTGCTCCCATGATCCAAACATTAGGTCCCATCTCCAACACTGGGGATCAAAACCCAACATGAGGTGTTGAGGGGTTAAATATCTAAACCATACCAAATACTTACTCAGGTTTTAATCATTATTTTAAAACAAAGATTATGCTTTATCTTCTCTATTACATCATTCAAATATATAAATGGAATTTTTATAATAATGTGAGTAGGAATTTGGAATGAAAATAGCTTAAATGCCATAAAACATTTTCTTTTAAATATGCCATGAGACTACAGTGAAGAGCCTCACAATGTTTATTTTTATTCACAGAAAGTCAAATTTTAAGATTTTCTCAGTTTATTTATTTAAAATTTTCACATTCATAATAGTAATTTGTTTTAAATGTTTATTGCCATGAGATAATGATTAAAGCTATAAACTAATATACAAATGAAAAAATAATGGCTATGTGCTCATAAGACTAGCATATTTATCAAAGTAGAGATGGAGAGCAAACATATAAATGAATGAAAAATATATGTTATTATATTAGAGTTACTTTGGTTTTTATTTGAAAACAAACTCATTGTTACTTAAAATCAAAATGCAAATCAAAATGTACTTTTGAAATGGACTTTTTTTTTGAATATTAGATCTACTTGGAGAATATTAACTTTGCCCACTTTAATGGAACAATATTAGGTTTTAAAAATAATTGTCCTGTAGAAACTGAAAATAAGAAATTTATTTGGCTATTAATTTGCCTAAGGATAAATTCTTGGTTTTGCTTTTATCATTAAAAAAAGTTAATCTATTCCGCATTTCCATTTAGAGTTTCAAACACAATTCCAAAATGAAGTTTAAGTTTTTCTGCCTCATGCTCATTAAAAGCAATGAAACCTCTGGCTGTTTTATGAAAAAATTATTTAAGAGTTAGGAAGCTGCAAGCCAGTTAAAATGCTTTGCTTAAATATTTTGAAGATTCTCAGTTAAAATAGTTCTAATGTTACATGAAGCTCTCTTTAGAACTTATTGCTTGTGTAGAATGAAGAAGTAGGGAAATATCAACCCAAAGGAAATAACTGTAATGGAAAAAAGGGAACCTTTCCCCCAAAGGCTTAGAGACTCTTATACCATTTCCCAAGCCTTCTTAAAACAGATTTCCTCCAAAATGAAAGGAAAATCTCTCTTATAATGCTACACAGAAGACAGAAAACAATTTATAAAATCCAAACCCAAAAGTGAACTTAAAACACTAAATTCTCTACATAAATACACAATGCCATCCATGGTCTTAATTTGATTCACCTATTGTTGCTTATATTGTATTTGTTCTATATTTATAGCCTATTGCTCAGTCACATCAAACCACATTGTGTTGTGACTATATTCCTTAGTGTTTTTTTCTACTATGTCTTTGAAAATAAAGAGCTACTTATTTCCACTTTCTCCTAAAATTCTAAAATTTTAACAGAGTTGCATGGATACAAAGAAAGTCAATGAATGGGCATAAAATGCCTGATTAATTTCTTAAAACTCTATATAAATTGTTACATATCTTCATATAAGTGTTCTCAAGAAAGTTTTCTTAAGCTTCTTTAAATTGTTAAAAAGGTCCTGAAACACAAAATCATTATCACTAACTTACGTTTGCTTATTAAGTTTCAAATCTGTAGAATGTATATTAAGCACATTTTGGTTTAATAAAAATATTTATTTCTTACCACATTATTCTCAGGTCTAGCATATCACGTGATACATGGAAGTGGTTGGTATGTATTTATTGAATGTTAAAATAAACAAACAAACAAGCCCCACAGTTTTGGACACTGAAGCCTAAATAGATTAACTCAATTGCTCAAGCTCACTGAAGCCAACGTGTGCAAGTTAAGACATGCATTTCTGGTCTGTCTGATATAATCACCAAATGGAAACATTTAATGTTCCAAAGTACTAAAAAACGCTTGAGACTTCAAGATGTCTATTGTGTTGCTTTCACAAAGAAATATTATCTGGCCTCTACCTTTTCCTCGACCCGAGTTAGGTTATCCCTTTACCTTCACAAATCTCCATCATAGCATAATCTATTGCAACTTGCAGTACAGTTTGCTAATCCCCACGGTATAACTACTTCTACCAAGGCTGATTTTCAGCTATTAATGTGATGTCATGGGACACAGAGTTCAGAAGAAAAGAACATGGGGGGTTCAATCCAGCTGATAGTAGCTGGGTCTAGTACATAAGTTCAGTCTTCTTGATTTCCACCAATGGACTTGTATGACTTGATTCTCCAATAGGTTAGTACTTTATTTAGTTCAAAATAGATATTTATCAATTGGGTGAGAATATAAAGTAGGTAAATTTTGAGGCATATTTCTCATATTTAAAACAAGAAATAATAGCAGGCATATCAGGACATTTAGGTTTAAATATCAATTTTGTGTGTGTGTGTGGTAGGCTTAATTCAAAAGATGTCACAAGATTCTTGACTAGGGTTTATTCATTGAAACACTACTGCAAGCACTACTGTAAAGGGGCATTGAAGATGAAAAGATAAATTAACATTTAAAATTAGATAACATTAAAATAGGCAGACTATGCTGGCTTATTCAGGTGAGCTCAGAGAAATCACAGGGGCTGGTAAAAGCAGAAAAGGAAAACAGAAGAGTCAACCAGAAATATAAAAAGCATATGGAGAATTAAGGAGCAATCGAGATAGTCTTAAATGTGAGCTATCCAGAGGATACAAACAGTCTTTAGAAGAATAATCCTCTTGCAGTGGTCAGCAAGGAAATATAGACCCCAGTGCTAAAACTGCATGAAAATGAATTTGGCCAACACCCTGAATGAGACTGGAAGTAGATTCTCCCTAGAGTCCCCAGATAAGAACTTCAAATGACTGACACCAAACTCTGACACACAAAATTGTAGGACATTAAATAAGTGTTGTTTTAAGTTGCTAAATTTGTGGTAAATTTGTTACAGCATTACAGAATAGCAATATAGTGGGTGTGGAGAGACAAAACTTCCTGTAATGCCTTTGAAAGTTGTATAGAGAAGTGACAAAGTGAAAAATACATACCTGGACTTCACTAGGGCTGGCAATCCAAGCCTTTCAGCAGCAGGAGGAGCAGCTGCACGTAAAACCAACTTTCTTTTTCTTTCATGAGGTAGCAATCATGAGTCATTTATGGGTAAGGCTGAAGATGAATGTTCCGAGTCCTATAAAAACAAATTCTTTGCGTTTACCAAGTTAATATGTTGCACCGCTCCCCACTCACTTTTTCCTTTGAAAAATTATTAAACTAATTTCAGTCTTCATTTGTAAATTAAAGTTACTTATCTACCTTGATTGTTTAAAGAATGACTGTTAAAATTTGTGTTCAGTCCACTGGTCATAGACTGAAACTAAATAAGGTAAAACATAATGACATGCATAATGAGTGAAACACAAGATAATCGTCTTAATGTGAGATGGGGAAGGTTGTTTATTTTCTAATCTGATATTTTAAAATATTATCTTAATTAGATTTTAAATTGCTAATGTGTATCTTATGTTTTGATGTGGATAGATATAAATAAGAACAGCAATACAAAAACATACACATATTTTGGGTTTTTAAAAGACAAAAAAAGGATCTTATATCCCTTAAAATATATCACCTACCATATACATGGTAATTATGATGGGTAAAACTTTTATGTTTCAATTAGGATTGCTAAAATTAAAATATAACTAGGAAAGATTTTATAATAAAGTATGGACCAATCTTTTTTTTCAAAAAGTAACTCTATAAAGGGGATTAGAGTCAAACGAGCATAAAACCAGAATATCAGATATTCCCATTAAGTAATATTCTCAGAATATTTATTCATAAATATACATTGACTGAGAGATTAACAAGCTGTTATAGGATTTCTGCACTGAAATTCTAGGATGCTGGCTACTGAAGTGATTAAAAAACAAGTACTAGCTTTATTTCCTATTCTCAATAATATTATGATTTAATTAGAGAAGGCTGACTAATGCACATGAGATAATTAGCAAGTAATGAAAAACAGTATGAATTCGTATGATAAATGTGGGACCAACGTTATTCAAGAGCACTGTTTTATCTAAAACTAATAATATAAACACCCTTTGAAGAAAAGACAACGACAAAAAAATAAAACAGCAAATGACCAAAGGAGAGGAGATATATGTAACTATTATAATTTCAGGCATAAATAAGTTCTTATCATAGCTTCTTCACTTTGCTTTTAAGTATCTGAGCCCCTTCTGTTAGAACTAGTATTACAGTAATTACTATTTTTATTCTCTGTAGTCTTTTTCTGAATGTTCATATGGATTTTTGGGCTTCTGTTTACATAACATTCTGTCTGAGAAAAAAATAGGTTTCATTACTAAAAAGAAATTTTATGCAATGATTAGGTTTTCAAAAATACTGTTCAATGTTGTCCTTGTATTTTGAACAAATTAATCAGTTTCTACTCAAAGAGAGAAGCCTCTATTATTCACATACAATCAGATCAAGTATAATTGTTATGTGACTGTGAAAAGAAACCCACACATCTTTTAGATTGCAGGATATGTAAAACAGGCTCTGATGCTTATTATAACGAATAAAAGACATAGGCAATAATTTGTTTTTAATTTTTGTTTCATAACATGATGAATGGCTGATAGAAAACATAACATTTCTTTTGGTTTATCAGGGACAAAACAACTATAACAATATATAATATTCTTAATTTTAAAAAATCTAGTAACAGCCATCCTTACTTTATGGTTTTTCTTCTTACCCATCTTTTTTCTTTTGATTTACTCAAGAACTAAATCTATGAAGCGCAAGAGGCACTCATATCCCTATTTTGGTCTGATTACATTTTCATTATCCCTTGATTCCTTGTTTGTCACAAAATCTGTGAATTATAATTTGGCTTCTCATTTAGTTTTCTCTCTAGGGAGAAAATATGCTGACCAGACGAAGTCTGTATTTAGTCTTGTTGGCAGTTGTATTTAATATCAACGCTCCCCCAATTAACTTTCTGGCACAGAAGTTGCTCTATCTTAAATTGGGTTTATAAAAGATACTATTATTAAGTTTATTCAATCTTGAGAGTTAAAATAATCATATTTTTGGTTTTATAAATGTAAGAAACAAACATTCAAATATAATAAACTTAAGGGTTTTATTCCAGTCCTGCCAAATAAACAGATGACCCTCTTCTGATGGCACTCCGTTTTCTTGAATTTACATTTTAAACAAAATATAAACTTTAAAAAAAATTTTCCAAACCTGCACCTTCCTAGTCTCTGTTTCAGGAATATTATCGTTTTGCTTAAATACTTAATGAGTTACAATGGTTAACTTGATTTCTCTTTTCTATTTAAAACTATATTCAATGTATTAGTTATGTCAATTACGACATCAAAATTTAGCATTAATTTGTCCCTTTCTGTTTGTCTATTCTGCCATCATGCTAATTCATGCCAAAAGCATCTTTCCAATAGAGACTATATCAACATGCTAAGAGGAGTTAAACTTCCATTTTGGTACATACTCATTTTCATTTTCTATACAATTCTGAAAATGTTTCCTTAAAAATTATAGGCATGAGCAGTGGCTCATGCCTATAATTATTACACTTGGGAGGCGGAAGCAGAGGCATCGCTTAAGGCCAGGAATTTGATACAAGACTGGACAAGACCCGGTCTCTACAAAATTTAAAAAAAAAATTAGCTGGGCATGGTGGCTCACTCCTGTAGTCCTGTCTATTAGAGAGGCTGAGGAGGGAGGATCACTTGAATCCAGGAGTTTGAGGCTGCAGTGAGCTAGGATTTTGTCACTGAACTCCAACCTGTGCTACAAAGTAAAACACTGTCTCTAAAAGATAAAATAAAAATGTAAAACTTAAAATGATACACTTCTGATTACCCAATGGTATCTCATTGGAAATTGAATAAAACCCATTCTGCTCAGCATACCTGTTTCATTCTGTTTTGGCTACTGTAACAAAACATTATAGACTGAGTGGCATGGAAGCAACAGAAATGTATTTCTCACAGTTTTTGAGACTGGAAAGTCCAAGATTAAGGCACCAGCAGATTCTCTGTCGGGTGAGGGCCTACTTTCTAGTGCACAGATAATGCCGTCTTCTGAGTCTTTACATAGGGAAAGGAGTGAGGGATTATTCTAGGGTGTCTTTTATAAGCCCACTAATCCCCGTTCATAAGGATTCTCTTCTCATGACCTAATCATCTTCCAAAATTCTCATCTCCTGATACCATAACCTTGGGTATTAGAATTGTAACGCATGAATTTTAAGGGGACATAAAGATTCAAATCATAGCAATACTCTAAAAAATACTTCTTTAACTTTGCAAATATATCTCCTTGCTTAATTTGCATTAGTTTTACTAGACATTTTATCCTTCAAATTGCCAAATATTTTTATACCACAAGGTTTTATTAATATTCCACCTATCCAGCAGAAATTTCCCGTATAATTTTTTAGTTCAGAGGAATAAAATATAATCTATGTTCTGATTGCTTACTATCTAGTAGACATCTGAAACACTACAGATTTCAATGATATAATGGCAAAGTTAATACTAGAGGTGTGAGAAGTTGGCTTAGCTAGAGGTGTGAGAGTCTTGCTTATATCTTTGTCCCAAAATTTTCTGATTTCCTTAAGTAGAAGATCTCTGTTCCTAATTTTATTACTACCTACCACATTCCCACCTAGGCCTTTAACCCATTGCATGTGGCTACTCAGACGTGTATTTGAGAAAGAGCTGTGAGAGGTGTGAGAAGTTGGTTATCGAAATGCAGTGTAACATATCTAATACAGGCTGGGGAAAGATCTTCAGTAATTACAAATATATAAGTGTAAATAGTACATCAACTATTTCAAATCCTCAAAGCACATCAGCTTTGAGGATTAACAGTTTGTTAAACTTTCTGCTAAGGATTATATTCCTTTCTCCAACACACTTTTTTTTCTGGACAGGGTCTTACTCTGGTTGCACAGACTGAAGTGCAGTGGCATGACCACAGCTCACTGCAGCCTCGACTTCCTAGGCTTAGATGTTCCTCCCACCCTAGCCTCCCAAGAAGCTGGGACTACAGGCACGTGCCACAATGCCTGGTTAATTTTTGCATTTTTAGTGGAGACAGGATTTCACAATGTTGCCCAGGCGGGTTTTGAACCCCTGGACTCAAACAATGCACCCACCTTGGCCTCCCAAAGTGCTGATATTACAGGCATGAGCTACTTCCCCAGGCCCTTTCTCAAAAACACTTCTGAGTAGCCACATGCAATGGGTTAAAGGCCTAGTTGGGAATGTGGTAGGTAGTAATAAAAATAAGAACAGAGATCTTCTATTTAAGGAAATCAGAAAATTTTGAGACAAAGGTATAAGCTAAGCAAGACTCTAGAGGAAAATTTGAACTTAATATGATACTGAAATGAGAATTGATGTTATTGTAAGAAAGCCCAGTCCAGAAGTAGTTGACTATATTGGAAACATTGAGATATTTGAAAATGACATCAGTAGCTTGCTAGCATTCTTGGTTTTTCAAAATTAAATAGCAAGTGTTTTGCTTCTGGTCAACTAGAATGCTCAGAGACATAAACAGCTCTGTATTAGTTACACACACAATGATAAAGAAGAAAATCTGTCTACCATAAAGGAAGTCACATTCTCATTCTAACAATAGAAACATGCTTGTCAAAATCAGAATAAGATATGATAAAAAAAAAAAAGATTACCCAAGTCACAGCCCAGAGAATCACAAAATAAATTTTAGAGGTCTTTAAAATAACTTAAAATATTCCCAAATGGAATTAAAAATTGGAACAAGTAGGAGAATGCATGTGAGACTACATGACAGAAATTACTGTTAAGCTCATTACCTATAACTTCAGCCATGAGAGTAGAAAGGGTTTCACACCATGAGAAGAGGAGATGATAAATAGAACCTCTGACTACTCCCAATTTATATACTAATTAAAAATGAGTCACCAGTCAAGAAAAGACCAACATGATGTCAACAAAGGGTTTCAAGAGATTAGTAGAGTAATGGACTGGGGGTAAAGGTAGAGGTTATTCCAAAAATGGAGATATTGGCCAATTATTTAGGCATAATATAAAATATATTTTAAATAAAAATTCTAAATTAATCATTGTTTTGGGATATGGAAAGTCCTTGGTGACACTAGCAAAAGGCATTTCAAATAAGTGCAAGAACACTTTACCAATATGCCTGATAATTCAGTGGTTGGCCACAAGATTATTGAAGGTGGCATCAGAATATTACTTTTAACATGAATTAACAATTACATATCTCAGCAAAACAGTGATGTTTTTAGTGATTCTTAATTTACTTTCTATGACCTCTGGCATTTAAATTTTATATAATAAACTCCAAAGATTTATGTCTTTCTAGGCTCCATTTGTTTTTCCCTTTCATTTTACCCTTCTCCTATTCCATATTTTATGCCTCTGCCTCAACCTGTAAAATAGATGAGCAATGTGTAAAAAAAAAAAAGGCATCTTTAATTAAACTAATGAGTATATCATGTCTAAAGTGTTGGTGGCTTCTCCTTGAATGAATGTTTCTACTTTTTTTCCTAAAAGACTGGATGATCTATTTTAAAACTAAAATAATATAAATGCAACTAAAAAAAAAAGAGACAAAACAAAACAGAAGATTTCATATAGAAGTATCTGAAAACTTTAAAAACTTTCTACCAAATATTATTTTTCTGACAGTAATCCTGATGGGTGGGGTTATAATTAAACGGAATGCCTAAACTCAATGGTGATGGGGAGAGAAAAGAGTGGCTGAGGACTGGTGGTGTCAGGGTGACAAAGCTCACAGTATTCAGTGTTTAGAGCAAACATGTTGAAGACAATGACCCTTTCAGAAGGACTGAGGAGTCTGTTTTAGTAGAAAGTCAAAGATTTAAAAAATTACTCTATTATAGCCATTTATTCTTCTTATTTTAAGTAAGAATTCTCCCTTAACTATTGGACTTTGAAAATTGTTGGATACTAAATAACTGCAAAAAGCTCATCAATGACTATGTATTTCCTGATATACTTAGTTATAAATTTAGACATTCCCAGTAGCTTTCCATCATGAAGAAGTGTTGTATAGACAATAGGGGAGAATCCTGTCCATTGTCTTAATTAATTTTTAGGCACTGTTTGAGAACATTATATGCATAATTTCAATAGATATTTACCGTACTTTATTAGATAGATGCCAGCATTTTTCTGTTTAAAAAATCAGATATTAGAGGCACAGAGGTTAAATATCTCAATCAAAGATACTATCTTTTGAGGAATAGAGCATGCATTTGTACCCATTCTATACTTCTAACCCTGTTTAAGACTGCAACTGCAAAAAATGGAAAAGATGTAAAAAGATCAATTTACTTTATGTTCATTTTGTAAAATAGTCATAAATATTTTTGTATGATGTACATTTTATAAGATAAAAAGTTTTTATGAGATAAATTATAATATTGAATTGATTTATATAATAAATCACTTTTCCATGTGTGTGTGGGGGTGGTATAAAATAGATTTATATTTTGTTTTGGAGTATATAAAAATTTAAGATTTATGATAGCTTACAGAACATACATAACATAGCAAGAAAAATGAGTTTCAATGTGGAAAAATAAATATGAATTGAAGTACACAAATAGAAATACATGAAGAAAAAATTGTAGGTTAAGTAGCAAATAGTATCCCTTGTAGCTTTGAAGTGAAGTCCAGCTGCAGAAATAATCAACTATCAAATAAACTGTAAGGCTATCTTAGTGTGTTTTCTGTTGCTTTCAAAGAATTCCAAAGACTGGGTAATTTATAATGAAATAAATTTATTTCTTACAGCTCTGGAGGCTGGGAAGTCCAAGTACATGGTGCTGGCATCTCAGTGTCTGCTTAACTGCTAATGATGGCATCTTGCTGTGTCATAACATGACAGAGGACATCACATGGCAAGAGAGAGAAAGTATAAGAAAGTGAGGCAAGAAAGCAGGCCAATCCACTTTATAACAACCCGTTCTCTGGAGGAGTAACCCAGTCTAGCAAGAACTGCATTAATCTCTTCATGAGGGCAGAGGCCCCATGACATAAACACCTCCCAGTGTTGGAAGGACATTGTACCTCCTAACATTGTCACCTTGAGGAATTAAATTTTCAACACATGAACTTTTGAGGGACACACTGAAACCACAGCAAAGGCATAGAGAGTTACTTTCTTTAGTATCTCATCTTATATACAATATGGAAATGCATACAAATAAAGTAGGTATAAAACTAATCTCCAAAGATATTGTGGTGCTAACTTGATTATTACAATTGCATTGATGTGAATTGACATTATAAAGACCTATAGATTATATGGCTGAAATTCTTTTTTGGGTTTTATTTTGCTTTTTAAAAAACTTTTAAAATAATTCATTGTTTTGAGATAATTTTTCATTTTTCCTTCTGATCTAGTAAAACCAGTGTTCTGTTTCTAGTTTGTGTCAAGTTGGCATTGTAAAATGGCAATGTATATATGGGACTCACATTCTCAATTGAAATCTGTTAAATTCAAAATGGGAACTGGAAAGCTAAAACACAGTGTGTAGAATCTGGAACAGGTACAATTGAATCAGAAAATGACATTACATATGGCTAAAATAGAAATAATTACAGGAGAGGAAATCCTAGGATGAAATGTATTTGTCATTAATATTGGGTATGCCAGTTTCAAAAGATAATAAATGTTAAGT
Organism: Homo sapiens; assembly: GCF_000001405.40. Lineage (NCBI taxonomy): Eukaryota > Metazoa > Chordata > Mammalia > Primates > Hominidae > Homo > Homo sapiens. Next base: position 18,780,332 of record NC_000005.10, read on the forward strand.
CATTATAAACTTTTACAACACTCTGCCCACACTTTTTATTTACAAATTTATAACAGATTTTTTATTTAAAAATTTTTAATTTACGTGGTCTTAATTTTCTTAAAAACAAATCAGAGTTATGAAAAAGAAAAAAGTTATCTTTAAATTTGGCACACTAGCCATAAATTGCAGATCCAGAGAAAGGAGATATTTACTATATTAAATAATATATTAAGTCTTTCTCTTAACAATCATGATATATTTCTCAACTAAGTCTTGTTTTTGTGTCTTAGAATAATAAAGTACAGTACTAATCCATAATAATGTTTTATATACTTTACTAGATGTATTACTAGGTATTTGATTTTTTTTTTTTTTTTTTTGCTAGCTAGTATTCTTTTCCTTTTTTTTTTTTTTTGAGATGGCATCTTGCTCTGTCACCCAGGCTGGAATGCATGGCATGATCTCAGCTCACTGCAACTTCTGTCTCCTGGGTTCAAATGATTCTCCTGCTGCAGCCTCCTGAGTAGCTGGGATTACAGGCACCCGCAGCCTCACCTGGTTAATTTTTGTATTTTTAGTAGATACGGGGTTTCACCATGTTGGCCAGCTGTTCTTGAACTCCCAACCTCAAGTGATCCACCCTCCTTGATCTCCCAAAGTGCTGGGATTACAGGCATGAGCCACCGCATCTGGCCAAGTATTCTCTTCTCTTTAATTACATTTCTATTTGATAACTATTATGAGTTGAATACCAGAAGTATAGCTTGTTTTTTATAATCATTTTAGATTTAGCCAACTTGCTAAACTCTCATTATTTCTAATATTTTGTCTTTAAAATATTTTGTATTTTATAATTATGTAATCATATAACCTGCAAATAAATTGTTTTTAAATTTCTAATCCAAATGTTTTTATGCATTATTTTTTGTTTTATTAATTTACTTACACTTACTATATTTAAAAATTTTAATTAAAGTTACAATATAATTACTCCTTTGTCTTAAGATTCATTTTCAATAGTCTTCTAAATCTCTTTCAGTGTACTTCATACAAATTTTTTGTAGTTTCTTTAAGGTCCTGATTTTTTTTTTTATATTCAATGATACATATTTTTTCTCTTTGATATATTACTTTTTAAATGTGGTTGCATTTTTAAATATTTTTTTCATCAAATGAGTAAAGTGTGTAAGAAATTTTGGATTTTTACTTCATATCAAATCTTACTCTTTTATTTGCTATATTGATTTACTTTTTGTCTCTAAACTGCCAGAGCTTTTAGTAAGACCCTCTAAAAATGTTTGCTTGTGAAGGTTTTTTTTTCCTTTTCAGTACAAACTCTCAAACTTCTGATTTTCTTCTGACTATATATTTTTTTGCTAACACTCATCCTGAATATTCTCTTTAGAGCCATATTGAATTTAAATGCTTGGCTTTGTGAGTTCACAATTAGGGGAGAGAGGACGATTACTAGCTTCTTCTTTAGAAGACAAGTTCAGTGGGAAATAGAACAGACAGGCTTTATATTCAGGGTTCTCTAGTTCATCCAAAACCATTAAAATATGGTATTTCAGTTTTCATGGTTTCATACTTCCTCAAAAACTGACAATTTTATATATTAATTGTTAATTCAAATAGTGTTTTAATTCAGTGATACATATAATTGCTTCTGAACTGGGTGGGCATTTAGAAGTCAAGTATAGCAAGGTGAGGTAGAATTCTATTCAGATAATGTCCCTGAGGTTTATTCAATGCCTAAGATGAGAATGGAAAGATATTAATGTGCCCTTCTATCACTCTCTGTTATGTAAAATTCTCAGGAGCAGCCATGTGATCTCACAGTTTTAATGTGTTCATCACCTCGAAACAAGTTTACAGTAGCAGCTAGCCAGCATTTAGGGGAGAGATCCTCCATGTTATAGAGTCTAAGGTAATAAAAACTGCTAACTTAATAACTGCTTGACTTCAGAAGTCCATGAGTCACTTGTTTCCCACCACAGAAATAAAAAAAAAGTGAAGACCATGCATTTGGACTTGGCTTGTTCTTAAAATGATGCATAGTTTTCCATGATTGTGGGTACCTGCTGGATGAAAGGAATACTCAGACACAGGTATGCAATGTAAGAGCAGCTAGGGGACTTCCCGGCACTAGTGGCCCAAGAGTGAGTTGTCTGGAACAGCTGGAGCTGCTTGCTTTTATTCAGTGCAGACATAATGCCGAAAGTCTGAAGCCAACACAATCTGTGGGTAATTAACATTATTGTTCCCCCTTACAGGGAGCAGTCACGCCTGCGGATGATCAAAGGTCAGTTTCCGGACAACATAAGTTCCAGATAACAAGCCTATTTAAGATAAATTCCCCTACACCCCCTTGTAGCTATTCCTCACCCTCTGCCTCAGGGTAAAAGAGCTGCCTTCAGCTTATTGTCCCCCAGAGCTATGCAGAGCCTTCCAAACTTTTAGAAGGCCTGCTCCTTTCCCTATAATTTCTCCCACTACTCTGACCAATCTCCTACATCTCCCCCTTTTCTGTTTTTTTGCATCAGGTTTTGTTGATTGAAGAGTATAGATATGTGCAGAGACCGGTTTGACAGGAGCAGCGGTTACAGCTCATGTTTTGGCTTTGCATCCTATAATTAGTAAATAACATAAGACAAACATGAGTATAATCAGTATTATTCTTTTCCAATCAAGGAGTGATATGTAGTGTTACTTGGTACTTCAGTCCAATGTGTGTTGTTACTAAGGAACCCCAATGGGGGTACGTCAACCCCTCCCAGTCAAGCAGTTACATTATTAGAGGCTAGGACAGGGGTGTCTGCCCAGGTAACAGGGTGGAAGAAAGGTGGATCCAAAAGATGGGCCCAGTAGAGAGTAGCAGGTGCAGGTTGCAGGCAGAGTGAGAAAATAAAACAGGTTAATACCCTATGAGAGTTGCAATGTACAACAGAAAGCATAGCAAGGAACAAATTATCTGGAGTGAATGGTGTCTGTGTCTGGAGCAGGATTCACTCAGCCTCCTGATTTGTCTTCTTCAGCATCCCCCAGGTAATGTCCGGGCTCGTATTGTGTGAGCAAGCTGCATTGTCCAGGGCTGTGGATCCTTCAGGGTCATTTCCTTCATTTCTGGTACAGGGCTAGGTCCCAGCCATGCCATGGTATGGTTTGATGTGTCATGCTGGAATCCAAAGACGAACTGACGGTGTGTGTGAACACAAGCATATCCTCTTCTCCACATTAGCAAATCATTTGGACCACATCATCCATTACTATTTACATCTTTCCATAAAACCGTGGGTTTTATGTCTTGAGAGGCTTTTGCCAAATGCTATTCTATGGCTGAATGAAATTTATCATTTAAATTTTAAAAATTAAGGGTAAATAAGGCTTGTGCTAGTAGTGTTGCAGGTCCTTACTCGTATTCCCCCTTTTTTGTTTTCTGAGCATATTTTTAATGATGGAGTGGGCACATTCTACTATGGCCTGTCCTTGGGGGTTATACGGGATACCGGTGGAATGATGGACATTCCATGTGTGACAAAATTGGTGAAATTGTGAGCTGGTGTAAGCTGGACCATTATCAGTTTTAGTTTTTGTGGGCCACCCCATAAATGCAAAAGTTAAGAGAAGATGTTTAATGACATATCGGGTGGAATCTCCAGGAAGAGCATGTGAGCTAATTAAGTGGGAATTGGTATCAATGGATACATGTACATATCTAAGTTTTCCAAATTCAGGGATGTGTATAACATCTGTTTGTCATAACTGATTAGGTTTCAGTCCTCTAGGGTTAACACCTGTTGAAGGAGGCGACATGCCTGTAAGCTGGCAATTTGGGCATTGCAGGATAATTTGTTTGGCTAGTCTTTGGGTTAACTGACATTATTTAGGTAAATTTGGGCTGCATTGCCCTTTAGGATAGAAAACAGGCTTTGTAATTTATCAGTAGTTATGCTCAAGGTGGGGCAAAGCCAGTTAATATCGCCCAGTAATTTTTGATAATCATTTAAGGTGTGTAAGTTGTTAGTATTCAATTTAACCTTCTGAGGTCTTTCTGACCAGGAAGTTAATATGTATCCAAGATATTTCCAAGGAGAGGACATCTGTACTTTTTCAGCAGCTATGATGAAACCTCTTAACTGTGTATTCCTTTTGACAGAGACATATAAATTCAAAAGTATTGGCTGTTTGGGGCTGCAAGTAAGATGTCATCCATATAACGGATGATCTTGCAATTAGGAAATTCTTTTTTACTGGGAAGCAAAGCCTGATTTACATGATACTGACACATGGTAGGACTGTTTATCATTCCTTGAGGAATTGCTTTCCAATAAAATTGGCAAGCTGGCCTTTTATTATTGATAGCTGGTATTGTAAACACAAATTATTATCTGTCCTGTTTTGCAAGGGGAATAGTATAAAAGCAGTCTTTTAAGTCAATAATGACTATAGGCCAATCTCGAGGAATCACTACAGAGGAAAGGAGCCCCTGTTGAAGGGGCCCCATAGGTTGCAAATAAGCATTGATAGCACTTAAGTCATGCAAAAGTCTTTATTTACCAGATCTTTTGGGAATGACGAAAATCAGTGAATTCCAAGGGCTGTTTGATAGTTCTATATGGCCTGCTTTTAATTGTTCCTCAACTAATTCATGGGCCCATTGTAATTTCTCTCCCTGTAAAGGCCACTGTTCTACCCAAATGGATTTTGATAGAGCCATGTTAGGGGTAGTGGAGGAATCACAACAGTAGCCATTATTAGAAAAGGGTCTGCAGGGTGACCCCCCCATTGGGCTAATAGGTCCCATCCCCAAAGATTAACAGGGATGGGCATGATTAGAGGTTGTATATTAACATAGGGACCCCTCCCCTGCAGCATTGCAGCCATTATGTTTTGCCTGACCAATTTATTCTGGTTGGCCTGTTGTTCACACAATTTATGAAATTTTGCCCTCCAGAGGAGGCATTGACTGACTTTTAAAGTTGTTTTAGCTAATACTGCCCAGGCCCATGGGATTATATGGAAGTTTTCTGCTATGGGCTGAATTAATCCTTTCATAAATGGGCTAGCGGCTCCATTTTCTCTAACGCTTTTTCTTATTTCCTTATAAGTGGTGAAAGTAATGGGTTCATGTACCTGATTGCCTTGTTAATCTTGTATCACCAGGCAAGCCAAGAGCTCCCCTTTATAATGTCACTTGCCCAAGATAGGGTTCCATAACTGTAGTGTATCCCTTGTCTTTTTTCCAATTTATTGGGGGAGGGGGTTCTGGAGAAACCTCTGTTTCCTCTTATGTATCTTTACCTGGTAACGGCAGGGCTAAGGGAGGAGGAGGAGGTGGTAAGGTAGGTGATAGTTCCTCCTCCCTTCCCTTTTTAGGCTCTTCAGTGTAGAGTGAGTTCAAAGCAGCCCTGACTAAGGCCCATAATATTAAAGATGTTACTGGGACCCATTGCCCTTGCTCATTATGTCATTTAAGATTTCTCCCCACTTGTTCCCAGACCTCTAGGTCTAGTGTGCCTTCTTCTGGGGACCATGGGTTATGGGAAACAACAGTTTGCATTAGGTCCCTTAATTGAATCTGTAAAACTGAGTCTCTGCCAGCTTTAAGCTAGCCGTGTTAGCCAGGATGGTCTCGATCTCCTGACCTCATGTTCCGCTCACCTCGGCCTTCCAAAGTGCTGGGATTACAGGCGTGAGCCACCACGCCCAGCCTGTTAGAGGCCACTCTTAAGCTCCTAGTAGCCATCTGCATTACTAACAAATGACCCTTTCCCTCTGTGCCAGCAACAACTCTTCACTGGTTTCTGCAAGAAGGTAACGCGATCAGGTTATTACTCTGGAAGATCGAGTAAGCGGAAGTTTAAAACTGACATAAAAATAACTATATTTGACCCAAACATTTTTTCTTATGTGGGTTATTGGTTAATATAATAACCTTGACAATTTATTTCTACTAGCATAGGTAGCAACAAGTACATAGAAAGTTTTGCCTATATTAAGGCCTGCTTTGTAGCCATGTGCTAGAAGTCAATTTGCCAGTTCTCATGTCTAAAAATAATAAATACTTCTAAAATAGTCTAATTTTATCAGTACAGAAAATATATCTGTCAATAATCTTTTTTTATGAATTAATTATTTCAGTTTATTTAATTAATTTATTTAATTAATTATTTATTGGTCACACTGAGTGTCCAACACAACAAATTTAGAAAAGAAAGAGACCTACATTAGAACTAATGAAGTAAAACTGCTTATTCTTGCTAATGGCAAAAAAAGACCCAAAAAGCTTCTATAAAGCAACATAAATTATTATTTATGGATAATTAATAAATATATTGCCATGATACTTTAAATCATAACACTAATTACCAGAAGAAAATAATTTTGTAAAATATGGAATAAAATTATAATTTTAAACACAGAATCCTCCACTCAGCCAAAGTTATAGTAGACAATAAAAGTAGCATAAAAATATTTTCAGACATACAAATTTTTTTTTAAAAAGTAGGAGGACAAATATTTTTAATGAAATTACAATCCATTCGGAAACTATAATAATTCTGGACTAGTCTGTACCTAATTATATAGCCAACAATTATAAAGCAAATTTCAAGAAACACAGGAAACAACAAAAAGTTTGTGAATTTTACTATTGTATAAGACTAACAGCAAATTTTCTTAAGAAAAGAACAGGAGCCAAAGGAAACAAGCAAAAGGAACAAGCAGTCAAAGGAAAAAAGGAAAATAAATAGAATATATCAATATCAAAATGAACACATATATAAACAAAAACACACAATCATTTCAAACACTCATGAAATATGTTTTGGATAAATGATGTATCAAAAAATCACAATTCACTTTTAAAATAAAAATTCACAGGAAATATTTTCTTCTTATAATACCATGTAACTTGTAAATAAGCAGGTTTATTTAGAATATTTATATATATGTTCTTCCCATATTATTGATTTTGTACTGTGAAATGAGACAAATAGCTTTATTTTCTGTAATCCTGTCTGTAATCCTTTCCTATATCTACATCTATATCTATATTTATATCTATATTATCTATATCTGCATTTATGCCAGATGGTGTATTTGTGTGCATGTATATATATATATATATAATATATATATATATGCTTTACATGTCTATTTGTGTGTATATATATATACACGCACACACAAATACACACAATAAATGCCTATGGCTATAATAAAAACTCATTGAAAAAATTGATGTATAATTCTCTGCATCAGAAAAGCTCATATATATTGTATTGGAAAATAATGTATAAAGGCTTCAGTTTTATTACATATAACTATAGTAACAGCATATGCTCTGGCTTTGTGTTAAATTCTCAGGAATTTGTGGGCATCACTGCTCAATTTTTTGTTTTCTCCAATACATAGTGATGGAAGAAAATAAACACAAATGAAGTCATAGTCATAAACTCACTAAACAACATGCACTTGTGAAAAAGCATTCTTAAATTGAGGTATTTACACACAGGCAAGGAAAACACTTGGCAGAAACTCAAAAAATGGTATGTGGTGTCTTGAGATATATCTTACAAAATGTTTAGGGGTCTGAAAATGCTTTTATAATAATTCCACTGAGAATCTACATTAAATATATTCCTATGTAATGAGGTACTAATTCTAAAAATATTTTTTATAAATTCAAATGTATCAGGCGAAATGTACTTGCAAGATGAAGACTGTGAAGTTATTAATATTTACAGGAGGCATTCTATCACCTTTACCAAGCTGAAGAAATGCCATATTTAGTTGTTGTAATAATAAATGTTCCATGAAATAGAGCTATATTATTGTGAGCCAGACTGTTCTAGCTGACTTGAACACAGCCATTGACCCCTATGCTCGAAGATTTCTTCCTCCCTAAGCATCACACGTTTTCTGTGAAGGTAATCCATAATTAGGCTATCCAAACTGGAAAAAGAATAAGTAAAGCCTGCGAAGGGAGCTTCATGAGATAAAGTTTTAAAGGAAAAGTACAAAATAACTATTCTCAAGACAGTCACAATTAAAACCAAATGCAGATGAGGACAGTGGTCTTGCATCTTCTATTTGTCTTCTTTGACCCAGTGCGTATTATTTGTATTTACTGTGAATGTATTTCTGTCTTTTGCAAATACATACAAGTTGTATTCGTCCATTATACTACTTCTAGTGAAATACCTTATTACAGTTCATGTAAGAATTTATGAAAAGGATTACTTAATGCTTGTAAAGATTATTAAAACCAATTGAGAAATTGGCATTGAGAGGACAAGTATTAATAAAATGGTGCTTTATATTTAAATTTGAAAATTTTGTAGCACTTCCTTACCTGCCTATTTGTGAGATATTCTCTTCTACATACTTCTTTTCTTCCTCCCCAAATCCAAACTTTTACTGCCAGTAACAATGAAGTCAGCATTAGTAGTTTATAAATAAAGTATTTTTATTTTAAAGTTTAATTATGCAGCTTCAAAAAACAATTTCTGTCTGCAAATTATGATTTGGCACATTAAACAGAAATGTAAGCAGACGGCAGAGTGCAGTAATTTTTATTGTCATAATTTTGTTTTTAAATTTTAGATGTTTATAAGTTTAATTGTTTAATTTCACTAGTTCCCAGAGTGATAAAAATATATTACTTTTAAAAACATGACAAGAATTCCCCAAATGGCATGCATTAACCGAATATTTGGTACAAGCTCTTTCAATGCTACACTAACAATTATTTTGAAAACAAACATCCTTTTAATTTGGATACATGATCTATTGTAGTATAAGCTTTTTATTAATTAGTGGAGGATGTTTACAAATATTTCTGAAGAACGTACTAGGAGTGGCATAATATACACTCTCAATTGTATGAAAATGAGTTGAGCATACAAGATAAAGAGCATAAAAGTGGAATAAACTTTTGGATTAATGGAGTAAACCCTGATGCAGGGTCATAGAAAAGAAAGTGAAGCCCAAGATCATGAGCTTGTTTGGTCCAGTGTCCTAAATGATCTAGTGCTACTACACCTCAGATGATCAGAATACAGACTAGTGGCCTGAAGCACTGCAGATCTTCTGTTATGGTTGAATATGGGTGTCTACCACATCCCCACCCACATACCACAAAATTCATATGTTGAAGTCCTAACCCTCAGGGCAGCTGTATTTTGGAACTGAAGCTAAAGAGAATGTTGTGTACGTAACATATTTAGAGAAATGCAATGTGAAATTATATCATAAGAGTATTAAATATACTTAACAATAGATTTATGGTTCCAAAACACAGGTACAGTTATTGGTAGCATTATGAGGTGACTTAAAATAAGATGATAAGATTTCTGGTTATATTATTAATGGAATAGTGTCCAGAACTAAAGAAAATAATAGGAGGTATGCATTCCATATATTTAAATGTTATGCAAGAACTTAGCACCATTTAGAATTCAGCCTGAGAAAGGTGACCAGAAGGAAGTTACTGGAAACAATGTAATGCACAGGCTAATGGTACTGGGAGTACTTTAGGTGGAAGTGGGCTCCCCCAGTCACTGAAAATCCTCATCCAGCAGCTGACAGGAAGTGAAGGTGTGACTTGCACTACTGAAAACTTGATTATAAATATAACTTCATAGATCTATTCAGAGTCTAGGTTTTGTAATCTACAACAGGAATCCAGTTTGTAAAGGCAACCATTTTCTACTTCTAAAACATCCATCTTTTGGGCAATATATAATCATAGTTTTTCTAAGATAGATATATTTTGAGCCTCAAACATATCATTGAAGACATAATTTATTTTATGTATGTGTGTGAAAAACAAGTATGATAATAAACCCATGTAGAAAATCTAGGCATAATCTGAAAAACATATTTGTTTTGGCCTCTATTTAATTAATTCTAGATGATTTTCTTATCTTTCGAACACTTCACTGGTAAAGTAGAAACAATAATATACAACATTCTTCCAGAAAGATTTAAATAAGTAAGTTTTTGCTTTTTTCCATGGTTTTAATATATTCTTTTTGTTTTAATAGGTATAAATTGTAATGTTTCCTCTGTATTTGAGTGAGTTATTAATAGATAAAATAGTGCATTAACAAATGAAAATGATAATTCAAATAAAACAACTTAAAATTAACATGATGAACAGCAAGACTAAACATCAAATCAATATTCCATATACTAATGAACTTATTTATTTGAAGAGTAGAATAGTTCTCAAATGTATTTGTTTGTTTTTGGATAGTGAAAAATTAGTGTCATACTTGAAGCAGAAGTCAATTATTTTGAAGCAGTCATGTTTAAAGATTTATTAAAATCTACCCTGCTAAGTGGTATGAAGCTATACAAAGTTGCTTGGTGACAAGGCCATCTCTAAATAAATATCAACTGACATGATTGGTAAAAGGAGACAAAATTATATACATTTTAAAAGATTTATATGGGTTGGAAGTAAATGCAATATCTGAATGTTTATATTAATTTTAATGCAAAATTAATATGAATTTATGAACATTTGAAAGTTCTCTCTTTATAGAAAAATACAATCTAAGTGAATGACTCAGTTACTTTGCTGAGAGTTAATTTTATTCTTACATTTTAAACTAACATCCCTAAATTACTCAATGGAAAAGTAAATTGATGGTAAAAAATTAATTTCCACTTAAAAAATCTGCATGGGTATAAATCACTACAACTTGGGGAAGGTTGAAAAATGACAGTATTAACACAACTTCATGTTCAACAGACAAATAAACATCCTCACAAATCCAAATCGCTGCCACATATTTACCCATCATTAGCCATAATCTACTTCAGATGATGATGATAAATGAACAAAGAAACTGGAGCCCTGAACAACACCTACTTAATGGTAACAACCATTGAAAAATGCAGAGTGAGTTTCCTGCCCTGAAATTGCTATTTAACCCCCGACAGGGCCTCATTTAACTGTTTCCTTCTCTAATATCACAGGTTTCCTCTATTAATGGGGACGACTTTCCTGTAAGCTAACAGCTTCATCCCCATTTTAATACTAATCTTTTCATTTAAGAAACTGATATTGATACACAGTAATATGCTTTATCAAGGAAAAATTTACAAACAAATTATATACATAGATTGGCCATAAGAAAATATTTGAGATATGTTGTTTCTTTTTTCCATATAATACTATACATATTATATCAGTTCAAAAGTTTTAAAGACGTTGTAAAAATTATTAAAAGTCCATTTTGCAGCCTTCTAAGCTGTAGACACCAGATTCTAGCTTTAAAAGTTTTATGTTTCTTACTGTGACCAAAAAGGCTTAAGATGACTTCTCTTGGGATACTAGATCCCTTGAAAAAAAGTCTCCTTTGCTTTGTGGCTTGGTAAGTTCAGTTATGATAGTTTATAATTATGAGACTTAAATACAACCAGGTGGCTTAAATTATATTCACAGATTTTTATGGTAAATTTCACTCTTTCCATCTGCGGCCACAATAGTTAACATTCTGATTACATGAAATTCTCTTTATCATCCTATCTTCTGATGTTTTTGAATATTGTTTAGATTGCTTTCTGTCTTATTTGTTAATCTTGGTCCAACTCTTTGAAGCAATCTGTTTTTCTAAAAGTGCCTTATATTGTTATTATTGCCGTGAATTGTTTCACCAATGCTACTTCCTCTTATTTTTCTTTTTTCCAGTTGTGTGATCATAGCTCACTGCAGCCTGGGCTCAAGTAATCCTCCCATCTCAGCCTCCTAATCAGCTGAGACTACAGTCATGCACCACCATACTCAGCTGATTTTTAATTTAATTTAATTTTTTTTTTTTTTGTATAGATGAGTTCTTGCTCTGATGCCCAGGCTGGTCTCAAATTCCTTGCCTCAAGCAATCCTCCCATTTCGGCCTCCCAAAGTGCTGGAATTACAGACGTAAGGGAGATGGCTGTACTTTAGTCAGGAGTAGGCCAAGGCAGCTTTCTGGCACAGCCTGACTCAGCAGATTTGGAGCACAGGCACACAACTCCGCACATTAGGTAAACACACCATGTGAGGCGCATTAGGTGATAACCCACATGAGCTCATGCTTGGCTCGGAGCCACTATTGTCTAAAAGGTAAAACTGCTCTGCTGATGCTGTACATACAACTTGCGCCCATGACTCATGCCCAGACTTGCTGGTGCCCAGAGAGAGTAATAGCCATGTGTAAACTGTCTATGATTCCTTGAGTGTTTTCCCAGTTACCTGCCACTGGTCCACCCACTCCCCTCCGTCCTCAGTTTGGGCTGGAACCGACACTTGGCATAACTATTGGCATCATGAACAGGATCCCAAGCTATGCTGCTCAGATGGG